>NC_000010.11:2888787-3040303 GCF_000001405.40 Homo sapiens
CGCACACACATATACACAAACGTATACACGTGCACACACAAGCACACATACACACATACATATACACACAAGCTCACACAAACACACATGCACATACAAGCATACATCACATACATACATATACACACACAAGCGCACGCACACATGCAACATGCACACACACAAACACACATGCACACACAGCAATGCTTGTGCTGCAACCAAAGGGTGAGGCAGATGGGTGAGAAGAGAGTTTCTAGACCACACTGAGGCAATGCAAAGGGCGCTGGAATTCAGTATCAGGGGCTCACTATTTATCCCTCAAGGTGGATCAGATGTAACCAGGCTGGAGCTCATTGTAGACCACCATGTAGTTAATGTATATGTGGTTCAAATACTCTTGCCTGAGTTTTTCACTGTCCTTTTGACAGTGATTTTTTTTTTTTAACAGAGTCTCACTCTGTCACCCAGGCTAGAGTGCAGTGGCATGATCTCAGCTCACTGCAACCTCCACCTCTTGGGTTCAAGCGATTCTCCTGTCTCAGCCTCCTGAGTAGCTGGGATTACAGGCACGTGCCACCACACCCAGCTAATTTTTTGTGTTTTAGTAGAGACGGGGTTTCATCATGTTGGCCAGGATGGTCTCGATCTCCTAACCTTGTGATCCACTCACCTTGGCCTCCCAAAGTGCTGGGATTACAGGCGTGAGCCACCGCGGACAGTGATATTTCTGACTTCCCCTAGTGTTACGACAGCCGTATGGGCAGGCCGACCATCCTGCCCACCGCCCCTGAGAATTCCTGTGTTCTGTGTGGTTGCCATGTACACAGCATCCTTTATGGTACTTTGCTTTTCCGGGACTAATCAATGTCCTGTGAATGCGACATACTAAATGATTATAAAGCGCTGAGAAGCGGAAAAGAAGGGCTCCCTAACTCTGCCTCCAGAATGTTAGAGTAGCTTTCCATTTCCCTAGAAAGGAAAATTATGGCCCTAAACCAACGGCAACAGAAGCTGCACAGAGGGCCCCGTAGATGAAGGGCAGACTCCCCATCTGAATAAAGACCCGCATGGCCATTCAGAGCCTCAGAGAGGACTCAGATGAGAACAGCACCACCGTACGTGGTCACCAAGCCGCAAAAGCCAGGCGTAAGCGAACAGCTTCCAGCGTCTTAATCAGAGAAAATGAGCAACAAAGTTTCCCCGACACATTTGATGCATACGTAATTGTCACCGTGCTGCATGCTAATTAAGCATCATTCCTACGTCGTTTTCTAAATGACTATGATTGGAACGATGGTTGCACAGCCACCGGCAGCGTTCAGGGGAGCAGAGCAGGGCGGCGGGAGATGGGGCGGAAGGGGAAACTCCTCCGGAGCCCCCTCCCACAGGGAGCTGGTGGCCCACGAACCCGGGAGGCAGCCTCACGGGCAGCGTCTCCTCCAGTGAACCCTCATGGCCTGGAGTCCGGAGGGCCACCTGCCCGGCGCTCTGGCTGAAAAAGGTGGCTGCTGCCTTTGGTTTCCTCCGCCCGCTGTCTCCTCTAGCATGGAGGGATTGCTCCAGGCTTCTCTTCTCAGCCAGGTGGCTCTGAACGGGCGAGGGTCCCCCACAGCAGCACGGAGGGCATTCTGGCACTGGGTCTCACCTCGCCCGCCTCCCGGCAGCCAGAGCGCTGCCGTCTGGGAATCAGGACACACACTCGAAGAACCGGAGTCCCCTGACAGCGGATCCAGGGCCTGCCGAGATCCAGGGCCTTCCTGCAGGGGACTGATTGCAGACCGCGATTGAAATCCCAAGGAAGGGGAATATCACACTCTGGGAACTGTGGTGGGGTGGGGGGAGGGGGGAGGGAAAGCATTGGGAGATATACCTAATGCTAGATGACGAGTTAGTGGGTGCAGCGCACCAGCATGGCACATGTATACGTATGTAACTAACCTGCACAATGTGCACATGTACCCTAAAACTTAAAGTATAATAATAATTAAAAAAAAAAAAAAAGAAATCCCAAGGAGCAGGGGCAGCAACGCCAGGACACTGGAAGAGTGGGCAGGGCGGCCAGGCAGAGTCCACGAGAGCTCCGGTAACCCCAGCAGCGGTGCCATTTACTCAGCTCTTTGAGTTTTCCAGACTCTGGACTAGGCAAATACTGGATTTCATTTCCTTCTCATAACAAAGAAGGACACCGAGTCTTAAAGAAATCCCCACACCTCACAGTAGTGAGACGAGGGGCCCAGGCAAACTCAGCCTGTTTAAGAAGAAGAAAACGAAAAATGTGGCTTTCACTAAAGAAAAGCAGTTTTGTCTTCTGAACTGAGCTGCGTGGAAATCGGGATCAGTGGCACACTGCTGCCACGTGAAGGGTCCCATGGGCTCTGGCTGCTAAGCCAGGACACAGAGCAGACCTCCGCCTAGGGACTCACTTTTAATTTTATGGTTTTGTGATTGTGTCAGATAAGATAAGCCTTTCCGAAGTGAGCTGAGCCCAGAGAGGCATTTCATTTCCTCATCACCAGGGCCCTAGAAAAGCCTGGGGGAGAAATCAGACATCCCCCACTGCGTGTGCATGTGTGTCTGTGCATTCGTGTGTGTGCACATGTGTGTGTGCACCTGTGTGTTCACAAAGTGGTCTTATACAGAGAATATACAAGATTTTCAGAAGGGGAAGATCATTGTGAATGTGCTTTGAAGGTGGTTAAAAGCCAGTGGTCTGAACTGGGAAATGAGAAGAGTGAGGGAACAGCCCTTTTTGTCATAGAGGGTGGTCAGGACCCTCACCCTCCTCCGAAGGCGGGAGTCAAAGCAAGAGGTTGGCAGGACACCCCCAGGCCTGCTGCCCCTCACAATGTCATGGCTCTGTGGTCTAAACGGCACTCTCGCAGGCAGCCACCCTCAGACACGTTAATCATGGGTGGCCGGTGTCTCTCGCTGGGTCTGAAGAACATTGAGACTTTTCACAAAAGGAGGTGGAAACCAGATTCAGATCTTGAACTGACTCACACAATCATACTTCAAAGCTGGAGTTTGAGAGCCTGCTTTAACTAAAAATTTTAAAAACACAAAGTATATTAATTCAAAATCTGGACATCTCCTACCATGTTTAGTTTACATTCTCATTTCGTTGGAACCCACATTAAAACGAATTAACCAGTGAACTGCATACCATCCGGGTGATTTTAGTAAAATAGTAGGGTAATCAGCCAGATCTCCTGGGCATAATCTTGAATACACCTTAAGGATGTCAATTATATTTCTGATACCGTATTTCACCACTTAGATCTTAGTTTCATTTCACAGGACTCTTTTCCCCCAATGTCTCCTCTCTAAATTGGCTTTCAATACATGGGAGGCTGCGGCAGGAGAATCGCCTGAGGCCAGGAGTTCAAGATGAGTCTGGGCAACATGATGAGACCCCTGCCTCTACAAAGAACTTAAAAATTAGCCAGGCCTGGTGGTGTGCACTTATTGTCTCTAAATGCACCTATACTCAGGAGGCTGAGGCAGGAGGATCACTTGAGCCTAGAAGTTTGAGGGTACAGTGAGCTATGATTACACCACTGCACTCCAGCCTGGACAGCAGAGTGAGACTCTATCTATAAACGAACAAACAAACAATAATAACATAATAATAAACATATAATAATAAACAAGCAATAATAAAGTAAAAATGAAAAGAGCGACACCTCCTTTGAGTAATGCTAAGTGTTCAATATTATGCAATGGGTCATTATTTTTAAAGTGACTCTATCATTTTATTAACATCAAGAAATGCTAATAATAATACTTTAAATAATATTTCTTATATCCTCACTTTTAAACATATTTATAGTTTGGTAAGACAACAATCAATTCTAGTTTAGCCTACCTAATGTGTCATTAGTCACAGTATTTTATACCTCACACATAACTTCTCTGTTAGCATGAAGAAAACTACTTATTTTCTTTGAAGCATTGTTTCTTCCAAATATGTTTTTCTCAAAAAAAAACCTTCTTTAGAACTTTCAAGATGGAATGCTGATAAGCATATTGACTCAAAAAATAAATAAATATGGCCGGGAATGGTGGCTCAACCTGTAATCTCAGCACTTTGCGAGGCCGAGGCTGGAAGATCATGAAGTCAGGAGTTTGAGACTGGCCTGGCCAGCATGGTGAAACCCCATCTCTACTAAAAATACAAAAATTAGCCAGGTGTGGTGGCAGATGCCTGTAGTCCCAGCTACTCGGGAAGCTGAGGCAGGAGAATTGCTTGAACCCAGGAGGCAGAGGCTACAGTGAGCCGAGATCAAGCCACTGCACCCCAGCCTGGGTGACAGAGCAAGACCCTGTATCAAAAATAAATAAATACACAGACACCCTCCACAGACACACGTACCACAAAATGGAAAAGGAATAATTAAGATTTCCATATTATATTTAACATACTTGACAAAAACAAACAAAACTACCCAAAGGCAAAGAGAAGTGTTCTCTACATTTTCATTTCATGAAATCTGTGATTCATGGAGGAGATTGCAAAATACACTGCATTATAGAGAAAGTGACAGAATGAGGCAATACTCTGGAATTGACAAATAAAGAAAAGCACAAATGTAAGATGAATTTAATATCTTGAAATGAGAAGATCTTGGTGCCAAGAACACCATCGGGCCGCCTGGCACGACTGAGGAAGTGTGAGATCACAGCAGGGTCATGGCACAAAGCGTTCGGCTTAAGGTTGAAGATTCAGAAATCAAATTCGGTGAGAACTCACCAGGATACAGCTGTCAAAACCATCCTTGGAGGTGCCAGTTGATTCCTTCAAAATAAATTCATTCGGGTTGCGCGAGGTGGCTCATGCCTGTAATCCCAGCACTTGGGAGGCCGAGGTAGGCGGCTCACTTGAGGTCAGGAGTTCGAGACCAGCCTGACCAATATGGTGAAACCGCATCTGTACTAAAAGCACAAAAATTAGCCAGCCGTGGTGGCGGGCGCCTGCAATCCCAGCTGCTCGGGAGGCTGAGGCAGGAGAATCGTTTGAACGTGGGAGGTAGAGGTTACAGTGAGCGGAGATCGCACCATTGCACTCCAGCCTGGGTGACAAGAGGGAAACTCCGTCTCAATAAATAAGTAAATAAATAAAAATAAATAAATAAATAGATAGATTTGTTCTCAGTCTAAAGACAATTCTGAGCGGCCCAGAGATGACCCACTTGAGAACACACTCTGTTGTAGGTGTGAAAGAGAAAGAGGAGAGAAAAGCAGAGAGACAGAGAAAGGTGAAAAGAGGGGAAAAGGAGATAAAGAAAAGTCAAATGTCAGCAAACCGAGAAAGGTTTGGTTCACTGCATGTAGCATCAGACCCGTGGGGGGACCAGGAACAAGCATTGGGTTCCCGAAGGGCGATGGGCATCCACGGCTCATCTTTAAGTGAAGAGTGCGCTGGCGGGACTGTGAGGCTTGAATGAGGTGTGACACGCAGCTCTAAGCACGGCACGCAGTAGTCTCCGCTCACTGCGGGTCTGTCATCAAAAACACTATCTCCATCCTGGGAGGCAGGAACTCCGACCGCCGAGGTCTTCGTTAGACAAATCTTCCTGAATTTTTCAGCTTTTCTTTTTTTTTGGCTGCATAATTGTTCTAACGCATTTGGTTGCTTTCTTGTGCTGCTGCTTCTGGGACTTCTCTAGGCTAATTCATTGCACCCTAAATAACTCCACTCATGATCAATAATTGCTATGAACCTATATTTTCATCATAGTTGTATGTATATAATTGTGAAAGTTGTAAAATCAAGATGGAGTCACTAATGTTAAGAAAACCCTGACAAACGGAGTCTGCGAAGGCCATGAAGACAGCGTTCTCATGCTTGTGTGCCTGATAACCAAAAAGACTCTACAAAAAAACACAACTTTACACAAAGCCTATCCATGGAAACCTTACACAAAAAATACTTCTGCAAGGACATCTGCCCAGCAATTGCCTGTCCAAATTCGGGCTGGCGTCACCTCTGGTAGTAATCTTTGTAGCCAAGATTAATTATCTCAAAATAATTATGAAATCCTCATTTTTTTCTCTGTAAAAATCTTTTTCTTCTTTTACTTTCCTGAATAAGCACATAGGTTACTATGGTGTACGGATTCTCATGGCAATGCCCTATTCCCAAATAAATATCATTTTATTTTAGACAGCCTCCTTCTGTTTGTTATTTAGGTTGATATAATTGTCAAAATAAATGCAGGATTTGTGTTCTATTTTGCTCGCCTTCAAGCATATATAAGCCTTGGGAGACCAGTACTGGAGAAGAGGGGAGGAGAATACTCAGGGGCGACCCTGCACAGCTCATGCTTTGGAACAAGGACACAATGAACAGAACTGATTGAATTGTAGGCCTGACTCTGCACTTACTGGCATGGGGAACTTGGCAGCTCACTACATCTATGCCGTCTCACCAGTCCAAATTACAATAGGGGAATACTTAGAACTAACTTTTTGGCATTTTTGCAAAGAACACACATGATATCTCATTAGCATATAGTAAGTACCCCAAAATAATCAGCCATTGCACAATAATGCTCACACTCAACGTGCAGTTATCAACACATGTTTGAATTTATTATATGAGAAAAGGATGAACTTTTAGTAGAAATGAAAATGTCTAAGTCAATGCCTCCTCTTGAACTGTCTAAAAAAGACAGGAGAGAAGCTTCCAGAAGGACAGCATGTTTCTCCCCTCTTTAAACATCCAGGATGGGAAGGAAGAAGCCATATGTAATCATCATTTTTTTTCTTTAAAAAGCCTTTGTCTTCCTTTACTTCCCTAAACAAATGTGTAACTTACTATGTTGTACGTATTCTCATTTCAATGACCTATTCCCAAATAAATAACATTTTCTTTTTGAAAGCCTCCTTCTGGGAGGCTTGGCTGAGCTGAGCACGCAACGTGCAGCGTGCCAGAACTCTGAGGAGCCACAAAAGCTACCAGCAAAAGAGTAACAGAGGAGCAACAGCCTGGGGAGAGGCTGAGAGGAGGCAGGAGGAGCTTGTGATGAGACGGAGAGTGCAATCCCAATGGGAAGAAAGAGACTCAGCGTGACAAGGCCTGGATGCCTGTGGCTCCTCGTGCAGGCTGGAGACAAGCAACGCCAGCGGATCGAGCTTTGCGCATCTGAAAGACCTCAACCAAAGCTGCAGAGCCTTCGCTGTGTGATCCGTCTGGGAACAGGAGTGACGAGTGACCGCGGCTCCCTTGGATGCTGTTTCTGCTGAGGCCATGGAGCGGGGACAGGAAAGCAGAGCTGAGTGTCGGTCTCTGGCAATAGCAAAGCAGGAGCTTTCCACGTACCCACCGTCATCCAAAATAGCACTCCATTCCACAGGTTTCTGCAAACCAAGGGCTCGGTCCATGGGCGTGAGGAAAGGAGGCAGCAAAATATTCCATCAAATTGTGCTCAGGTCTGTGGAATTTCCCTTTGGGGTTCATAGCCAAAAAATGTGGATTTGATGAAGGAAATTAAATCATTGGTAGGGGGTTGATTTCCAACCAATTTTTAAGTTTATAACAGCAATGATGCTCTTTTGTGAGATATGGGAAGTCACCTGTCTTGGTGAAATATTTACCATCCAAGTAAATATTGAACATTAGCAAGCAAGTCCAACTTTTTTTTTTGAGAAAGGGTCTTGCTCTGTTGCCCAGGCTGGGGTGCAGTAGTGTGATCATGGTTCACTGTAACCTGGAACTCCTGGGCTCAAGCGATCCTCCCATCTCAGCTTCCTGAGCAGCTGGAACTGCAGGCACATACCACCACACCTGTCTAATTTTTGTATTTTTTGTAGAGATGGGGTCTCACTATGTTGCCCAGTCTGGTCTCAAACTCCTAGGCTCAAACAAATCCTCCAACCTCAGCCTCCCAAAGTTCTGGGATTACAGATGTGAGCCACCAGGCCTGGCCCTAAATTTTTACTACCTTCAAAATATATTAATCTTGCCCCTTCTGATGCTTTTTAATAATATTATAGTACAGTCCTTGTCACTTAATGAGAGGAATACATTCTGAGAAATGCATTGTCGGTTGATTCCATGGTTGTGTAAACATCACAGAGTGAATTTTATACAAGCCTGGATGGCGTAGCCTACCACACACCAGGTTTACCCATTGCTCCTAGGTCATGCACCTGTGCAGCATGTGGCTGTACTGAATACCATAGGCAATGGTAACCAATTTGTGTATCTAAACAGATCTACACATAGGAAAGATACAGCAACAATATGGTATTATAGTCTCATGGGACCCTGTTCATATCTGCTGTTCATCATTGACGACATATGGCTGCGTTAAAGAGTCTACTTCTCAGATGATGTTGCCTGGGCAGGTTCGTGCTAACAGAATGATTTCCAGTACTCCAGAGCTTAGTTTCCAAAGATACACTCTTTTTAAGGACGTTTTTTTTCTTCAATTTTAATTAATGGTTGTCTGTTTGATAAACCTGGTCCTCTGGAGATAGAAACGCAGAGTCAATTCTACGGCATATAGTGCCAAAGAATGAACTGGCAACAAAAATAAAAGCAAATGAACGAATGGATGAGGAGTTCTGCAGTGGGGAGCGATGTCTATATCATGACTGAGCATGCAATGTGGCAGTCATGTGAGGCGGGTTGCATTTGCCTGGGTAGTGGCCTTGTTCTGTCTCTTCCTGTCTTAGCTACTGATATTCTACACATACATCCCTTCAAATTGGTTTCTAAATCCCTAACTTGCTGCCTTTCCTCACAGTTTGGAGCTTTCTTCTGGTCTTAGGCCTCTGGAGGGTGAAACTCTGGCCACCCGTCAATATCCCAGGAAGAGGGCTGGGAGTTCCTGCAATGACTTTTTATATGGTCAGTGTGAAATCAGTCCCCTGAAAAGATACCTTCAAATGTCGTAAAGAAGAGGCATTAACTGCAAAGTTCAGGTCGACAAATCTTTAAGGGAGGCAAGGTCCTGAGTCTTCATCTATAACTAGGTGAAGATGTGGATTAGATTTTGCCAGAATCTCCAATGACTCAAGTGTGCTAAGAAGAGAGATACCGCTTTTATCTTTTGTGAATCTCTTGTGGGGATGACGCAAAACATAAAAGTTAAGTGGCTCTTTCTTGAAAAGGTTCTTCTCTACTGTTGCCAATTACAACACGAATTATTTTCCACGTCCTCTTCTTTCTCTTCCCCAGGAAATGCATTGCTCATTTGAAATGACTTCTCACACACAGACCAGAACAGCTAGGAAATGAGTGTGCGACGGAGGGCATTTGCTTGCTGATTCATGTCCTCGTGTGTTTCAGAAGCTACTCTGTGCACACTGGGAACATGCCCTCTTATCTGAGAAAAACCTTGACTTGACTGTTCTGAGATGATTCTGCCCTGACTGGGCCACTCGGTGCCACTGAGAGCGCTTTTATGAGATCCTGCACTTGATAAAAGAAGCCAGGGGACTTAGGAACAGATGGTATCTTAGTCCCTTTTGCATTGCCATAAAGGAACACCTGAGGCCGGGTAATTTAAAAAGAAAAAAGGTTTATTTTTGCTTACGGTTCTGCAGGCTGTACAAGCATGGCATCAGCACTGGCTTTTGGTGAGGCCCAGGAAGCTTTTAACCACAGCAGAAGGTGAAGGGGGAGCCTTCCCATGGCAAGAGAGGGAACAGGAGAGAGAGGAGGAGGTGCCAGCCTCCTTTAAACAACAGCTCTTGATTGAACTCAAAGCAAGAACTCATTCATCACCAAGGGGAGGGCACCAAGCCATTCATGAGTGAGTGCCCCCATGACCCATGCATCTCCCTCCAGGCCCACCTCCAACACTGAGGACACAGGGCCACGTTTCAACATGAGATTTGGAGGAACACATCCCAACCACGTCAGCCAGCAGTAATAAAATGCCCACAAACAGCTGTGGGAACCACGCTGTCACTTCTGCCCCCTGCCAGCTCCCAAGCCCTGGAAATATAACAGCATGTGCATGGAAGGAAGACCCACGCGAGCATACGGTAGCACACCAGGTAAGTGAAGGCCTGGCTCTGGGGAGGCCAGGGCCACAGTGAGGTTTCTCAGCCTGGCTCCACCTCCAAGAACAGAGTGCACTGAGGTCACAGTGAGACCATAGCCCTGGAACTGGCGGAACCCAGAAGGGGACAAAACAAACCTGGTCTTCCCCAAAATTGCTCATGCTTTAAGTTGTGAGAGGGATCCTGGTGTCATCAGGACCTGAAGAAGAGCATCCCAGTCCTGAAGGCCAAATATTCCCAGGTGAACAGAGCGCCGGCCACCTGTCATTGCACCCTCCTAATGCCCATCTCCCCAAGCCACAGAGACCAGCAGACCCTGGGAAAAGCCCCCGAGGCTGCCGAGATCAGGCATCAGAGCAGGCACAAGGGCTGTGTCAGTCCATTCTCATGCTGCTGTAAACAACTACCTGAGGCTGGGTAACTTATAAAGAAAAAGGTCTAATTGGCTTACAGTTCTGCAGGCTGTGCGGAAGCATGGCTGGGAGGCCTCAGGAAACTTACAATCATGGTGGAAGACGAAGGGGAAGCAGGCACGTCTTCCATAGCCAGAGCAGCAAGAAGAGGGCAAAGGGGGCGGAGCCACACACTTTTAAACAACCACATCTCGTGAGCACTCACTCACTATCACGAGAACAGCAAACAGCAAGGAGGAAATCCGCCCCCATGATACAGTCCCCTCCCACCAGACTTCTCCTCCAACACTGGGGGTTACAATTAGACATGAGGTTTGGGTGGGGACACAAATCCAAACCACGTCAGTGGCTGTGCTGGCTCCTCTAGTCCACGCCCTGGATGCTCAGAGCCATTCCTCCTGCCACGGGCGTCCTTCAGATGACCCTGCTGGCCGGCGGAGCCTGGAGAAACCAAGGCACTCACACCTGAGAAACTTCAGCCTCCTTCAGCTGTGACTTATGGCAGCGGCAGGGCCTGCTGTCAGCGGATGAGGGACAGCTCCGTAAACCAGCCACAACGAGTCCTATTTTTCGACTGTCTGTCATGGTGACTAATCACAGCTCCTTGCTCTCTTCTCCACCTCATTTTCAAGTGACTTCTTTTTTTCTGCAATTCATAAATCCTCACTTTCATGTAAGGCCTCTATATGATACTTTATCAAATGCTTTTTGAAAGCCTCGGCAGAAAATATCACCCATGTCCTGGGCTTCTTTCTCTCAGCTCTTTCTTCAGTAATGGAATCAATTTTTTAAAGAGGGAGACACACAGTGTGTTGGGGGTAGACTTTGCCTCCCTCGGAGGATCTCAGAGAACTTAATGCCAAGTCTGTGTAGCTCACCCACATCCTTTGCCTCTTGAGAAAGGAGAACATACATTCTAGATTCTTCCTGCAGTGCAAACCTCTACTTCCATGAAATCTTTTAACTGTTACTCTCCCAAATATTCTCTATTCCAAAGAGGTGGGAAGCATGTGTTGTCTGTACAGCATGAAAACAGAGAGGCATAGAGAAAAAGCTGCTGTGACACAGGCCCCCTGCAAGGCTGACCTCCCATCTCTTCCATTACCCTTCCCGAGGAGCAAAGGGCTTCTCCCCAGCAGCTGTGACCAGAAGACCACAGCCTGGACGTGCCCTGTCCTCCCTCCCAGGCCCTTCCAGCCTCTGTCACAGGCAGAGGTGGGAACTGAAAACTCAGAGCTGCCCGGAGTCGAGGATGCTGCTGCTGCTGCCAGGTAGGTTTAAAAACAAAGAATTGCCCTGGAACCCTCTTGCTTCCTCGCCGCCTAGGATCCCAGGACCCCGCAGCACTGCTCTCTGATGCTTTTGCCATTCGCCTGTGTTATCCATGAACAGAAGGACGTCAGTGGGCGTTGTCCTGAGCACTGTGGAGGTACCCAGGGGAAAAGACCAAAGCTTCCACCCTCAAGGAGTTCAGGACTAATGCCAGAGACAGAGGAGGGGATGACAAACCCAACAGCAGGTGTCAGGAGAGGTCTCCAGGGCGCCCCGGGAAGACCATGCTGGGAAATGCAGCCTGCCCTGGGCCAAGGACTGTGACCCACAGAGAGATCACTGGTGCTGCTTTCCTCTTAGCCCATCTCTGCCTTTTGTTCACCATCTCCAAGTGCAAGCCAAGCTCTTCCCTCACTCTCCATCCATCCATGAGGGGACAGGCAGGGCAGCTCCTGACAAGACCGTCACCCTTAACTGTCCATGCATTAGGTGGGTGAGCAGGACGAGAGAACTTGCCTGTGCGTCCAGAAACCAGCCAAGTTCACATTTAATTCACTTAGATTATCTCACACTTAAAAAAAATACAAAGAGCTAAATTCACTGCCTGATGAAGAGACAAGAGATTTTTTTTAACATTCTTTATTTTTTATGTGCCTAAGTTTTGTCTCATTAACATTCTTTAAAAATAGCTCTACGTTAGCCTTTCTATGGACTGGATAGGAGCCTGTGACAATGGCACAGTGATTTGGGGGCCGATTTTCCTTAAATACCTCTCCCATGAGATGGTGAATGCTTTTGCTACGTGGAAGCTTCAGGACTGTCTAGTCCGAACAAGCTGCATAAATGGAGGGATTCTTACCATCCGACCTGGTCTAATGTCTGCCTGATCAAGATTCCTCGGTGGCTCGTGGTTCTGACTGATTGGGCCTTCTCAGTAAGATCTCCTATCACAACAGGGAACATTCAGAATGGCCTCCGACCAGCACTGCCTGCACTTCCTTTATTAAACCCCTTTGTTGCAGCTTTATTATTTAGCTGTAAAAATCAGTGTGAGCTAAAGCTCAAGCTACAAGCCGCAGAGAACTTTAAAAAAAATCATTTAAACTGCATTTTCAGGCACTGGAGGATTTAGAACATTGGGAACTTATAATGACAGAAAATAATACCCAGCCCTTGTTTCAATTTTCTGCTTAACCCTGGTGTCCAGGAAAAAAGTTTCTATTTTTCTAAAGTATTGTCACTGGATTAGTCCATTTTCACACTGCAATGAAGAAATACCCAAGACTGGGTAATTTATAAAGAAAAAGAGGATTAATAGATTCACAGTTCATCATGATTTGTCCCAGTGACATAACGGCAACTGATTCCACAAGCAACATAATTAAATAGTAAAAATGTTCGGTAAAGAATGTAAGTGGTAACTCTTAAGTTTTACCGCTTTCAGCACCTACAATCCTCCTAATTATTGACATAGGTGTTTATTAGTCCATTTTCATACTGCTATGAAGAAATACACAAGACTGGGTAGTTTATAAAGAAAAGGAGGTTTAATGGACTTACTGCTTCAGGTGGCTGTGGAGGCCTCACGATCATGGGGGAAGGTGAAGGGGAACAAAGGCATGTCTTACATGGTGACAGGCAAGAGAGTGTGTGCAGGGGAACTGCCCTTTATAAAACCATGAGATCTCATGAGACTTAGTCACTATCACGAGAACAGCATGAGAAAGCCCACTCCCATGATTCAATTACCTCCCACCGGGTCCCTTCCATGGCACATGGGGATTATGGGAACTACAGTTCAAGAAGAGATTTGGGTGGGGACACAGCCAAACCATATCTGTCACTCTATGGAAAATATTCTTTTTTTTCTAAATCTTTGATTATCTCTCCAAATGATACATTAGTTATTTAGAACATTTAATATGTGTATCTGGAAATAAATTAACTTTTTAATATGTATATCTGGAAATAAATCAGCTTTTCCATTAACATGGTCACATGTTTAGCTTAGTGAAGTAAGCACGAACCAGAGAGTGGTTAAAGTCTAGACTAGCGTTCTCCCAAGTGTGGCCCATGGAGTGTGTCTATCCCAACACCTCTGTGCCTGCCGTGACCTTCAGAATGACCAGCTCTAGAGTGGAGCTGGAGTTTAGCAGCTGCACAGAAGACCGGCATGCTGCTGAAGCTTGCAATGCAGCATGCTGCTGACCCCCTGCTCAAGCTGAGCTCTGCTCCTTGCCAGGGAGCCCCGCCCATACTCTGGAACTCAGTTCCCTGAACCACTCCCCGCTCTGAGCTTGGGTTCCGATCATGCAAAATTCTCTTCTCTCTGAGGTTCCCTTGAATTCCTCCCTTCCCTTTTCCGCCTTCACCTTTGTGAATGTCCCATTCCAGTTTCTGTTCCTCTGCCTCTTCCAAAGACCTTCATTCTCTCAACACTACTTTACTCACCCAAGTTTTCCCCCAAACCCTGTGACATGCATTATTCCCATGTTCTTTTCCTAATATTTCCCTATAACTTTTAGGACTTTTCTATCTTACCCCCATGTATCACTGGCATTTTATTACGTGGTGTGATAATCGTGGTGGTTTTAAATTAGAGGTATTTACAAAGCTACACCTAGCACATATTAAACACGGATAAAGACGCACCTGGAACACTTCCCTCCTAGCCAGCTCTGCACTGACAGCCCAGGAGAAAGAAGAGGACTGGCTGGCTCTTCTCCCCAGCTGGCTGGGGACTCCAGGAAGCCCAGGAATGGTGAAGAAGCCGAGGACGGGGACTCTGTCCCGGACAGTCCTGCAGCCAGACAGTGCTCCCTGTCAAAGTCCCTCTGTGTCACTAAGATGCCGGGACTCGTCCACTTTCTGTCCTTTCTGCACTTGAACCCCCACACTGACTTCACAAGTACTGAGGTGGGTCACATGAACAAGTGCAGCAAAATGAGATGATAAGGAAGGAAACAAGGTCACCCCTCTTGAATCCAACCTTCCATCTCACCCCAAAGGCATGACTTCTCTACTGCTTTGTCCATTATCTTCAAACCTTTCCCTAGTGCGGTTTCTTCCCCGCCCTACTCTCAGCTGATGACTGTGGCTCCGACCTCACTGAGAAGTGGGAGCCATTGGGAGAACTGCTCAGTGCCCTCCCCACATCCACAGCCTCCCAGCGTGTCCCTGGGCTCTGTCCCTCATGCTATGGGTGTGTTCCTCATGTTTCCAAGCCAAGGACAACTCCGCCCACCTCTGTAGCTCAGTCAAGAGCAGTACTTGGCAATTGCCCCTGCTCCCTCATGTCAGAAATCTCCTTTGCACCTGTCATTCCTTCAGAGTAAAGTGTTATCCTTTCCCCATCTTAAAGAATATCTCTCTTCACCTCATTCCCGCTCTCACCCCATTTCTTTGCTCCCTTTTGCAACAATGATCCTCCCAAGAGAGGTCCTCCTTGGGTGTCTCTGATCACCCTCCTCCCTTTTTTCTTTACACCTCTTAGTCCAGCACTGAGTAGTTTCACATCCTCACTCCCTCCTACCTTCTCAGTGAGACCTACCTGACTGCCTGCTCCAGGACTGAACTCCACCAGGGCAACCCTCCCTGCATGCCCAAACCCCAGTGCCATTTTCTTTCGCATAGAACTTACTGCCATTGAACATACTGTGCGTTTTTCCCTACCGGGTGTAATTTCATTCATTCATCCCTAGTCCCTCAGGCAGTGTCTGAAACAATAGATTATTTAAGTTAATAAACACCAGGCTAAGGAATAAATGGAATACTGTTGTTCAGCCCCCTTCCCATCCCGCTTCCAAACATCCCATTAAAATCCATATTCATAATACACACAGCAATTATCAAGAGAGGCAAAAAGAAAGCTGAGAGCATTACTAATTAAACTGTAGGATTCTAGGACCCCCTGGGAGATTGCAGGTTATAGAGTACCTCAAGTCTATTCATCTGGATAGCGATATTCTAAGACAAGTAGGTCTCATACCAAATGGAGTGAGAGTTGCAAGTCAACTAAGCCCCTCACACAACAAACACAATCCAAGAAGAAATTCTTCCTGCATGTGGAAAGGAGTGCTGTTCACCCTCAAAGCAGATCCTAGTTAATGCACTGAGAATTCAGAGAAGCTTCCAGGCAAGAAGAGAGAGAAGAGAGGTCACGGCAAAGGCTCCTGCTCCTTTCTTTGGGGATTCACTGCGGCTTATCTGACTCTATTTCCGAGCTCCCTCTGGTAGACCAGGACTGTGCCAGTGTAACACAGAGGTCTGTTTATTCCCTCACCCAAGCAGCCAACACCAAAGTGTGGAGAGAAATGCAGAAGGCGGTCTCTGCGCCCCGAGAAACCCCATCTAATACAGGTCTGTCCCGCTGCAGACCCACCCAGCTACCTGTTTGAAAACAGGGTACACAGGCAATGAGTTTACAACTTGTTTATTGAATAAACAACCATAAATGCAACAAAACACCAGGGGCCTGATATCCTCTTCACATTGTTATAAACCTCCGTCTTTGTGTTTTTTGTTTCCATTCCTATTCTTAGTTTTATTGTCCTTTCTAGAGTTGGAATGAACCCCAGAGGACCCCTTGGTTTTAACTAAAATTCTCTCTCTACTTCTATAACACTTAAGCTAAACAGAGAAAATAATAGGAAATGATACTCACATTTTCCATGTCTACTCCAAGAGTTACAAGACAAGACACACATGTTCATCCCAGGGATAAAAAATGTCTCTGGGATAATTAGCAACCATAGCATCACCCTTGGGGGTGTCTTCTGGATTAAATATTCTATAAGGGTGGTACTTCTTGTTTTTAACCCAGACAAATCAGAAAACAGATACTACTGAGCCTGCTGTTCTGAGGCCCAATGGGGGACCCCAACTATGCAATAGAAACAGACTGACCGGATCCCCAAGACAGAACTAATATGTGGATAGTGACTTGGAATTTCCTCTAAAAGTGGAATTTCCTAAATACAGACACCATAAAAACCATGCTTCATAAGACAATTATTTAAAGAGTGTGTCTTTGCTTCTTTTATTCATGCTCAGCTGTGCTTTCTGTCTTCTGCCAATCCCCGGCACCAAAGAGATATTTTTCTGGGTTTAATTTATGGACTTTCCATTATGAAAACCATAGCGATACGTACTTTTCTCAAACTAAACACCACCCATTGGAGAATCTGCAGGTCTCTCCTCCCTTCCCAATTGAGAACTACTAATTAAACCAGAGATCACATACGTGAGAAAAACCTCCTTTTACCTTGAAAACCTCCATTGATGTGGGCCCTTCTGTACATAATTGAATCTGGGACACCCATTAATTGTTGGTCACAATAACTTATGGACACCTGCGTGCGAATAATATTCCACCCGTGAGTGTGCGAGGACGGAAAGGAAGTGAAGATACATCCAAGCTCTGAGGAACTCACCCTCAGCTCAAGGACAGACATGCACTGATGACAGAGCTCCTTAGAGCCTCACAGCAGCCAGAGGATGAAGAAGAACAGGTGCAGTGCAAGCTTATCACATGACAGGGCTCCATAGTGACGTTGACACGATGGACCGTGCTTCCTTCAGATCTCCTTCTCTCTGCCGCACTCGGCTTAGTCTTCCCAGATTACTGAATGACTGTCCTGCTCACCTCCCTCCGTCCATTCATTCCCCTGGCTCTGCCTGCTCTCCAATGTGGCTTCCAGTGTTGTGCTTCTGAAACTCAAGTCTGATGGTGCCACTCCACGGCTTAACACTCCTCCCTTTCTCCCCCTGCTGCCACAGGAGATGAAAAAAGTCCTGTATCTAGGTGGGGTGGATCTTATGCAAGTTGGCTACTATGAGAAAAACAACAGCCTGAGCTCAATGGCAACTAGCAAGTAACCCTTGGCCTCCCTGCTGGAGGGACAGTGTGGAGGGAGAAAACTGTGGCAAGCCAGGAGCATTCCTTCAGCCCCAAGGAGGAGGCAGCTGCGCAACACCTGTCAAGTACTGTCGGGGAAACATCTGGACCTACAATGGCCACATTCTTTTTTTTATTTCTCAAGAAATACTAGTAATCTGAATTTTTAAATTAAAATATCTAGAGTTTTTAAAAGTTGGAAGTTAATTAAATAAAGTTAAAATACTATGAGTTAACTTCAAGCACACAAACAAATCACAGCTGTGGGCCAGGTACCTGGTTTGTTACCTCTAACCTGCAAGAGTAAGTCAGACCACCTTAGCACATGCCCCAGTTCCCTCCAGGCCGTGAACGGCTTTTCATCATCTGATGCCAGCCAGACGCTCAGAATCAGCTAACCCAGCACAGTGTGTACAAACACAATCACACACACACACGCAATCACAACACAAACACACATACACAATCACACACACACAATCACACAAAAACACCCACACACAATCACACACACAACCAAATACACAATCCCACACAGACACGCACACAATCACACACACACACAACCAAATACACAACCCCACAGAGACATGCACAGTCTCTCACACACACACACAACCAAATACAGAACCCCACACAGACATGCACACAATCTCTCTCACACACAGACACAATCACACACATACAAACACACACATAATCTCACACAGACACACACACCTACACAATCACACACACAATCACACACAAACACCCACACACAATCACACACAACCACACAATCCCACACAGACACGCACACAATCACACACACACAACCAAATACACAACCCCACACAGACATGCACACAAGCTCTCACACACACACACACAATCACACACATACAAACACACACATAATCTCACACAGACACACACACCTACACAATCACACACACACAAACACACAGTTTTTCCTCCCACCCCATGAAATGACTTAGGGTCCTGCTGCTCCATGCCTTCCACGTTTTGCTCTGAGAGCCACCGTCCTCCCTGCTCCCCGCAGGAGGCTGATGCGCCTTCTTTTAAGTCGAAGCGTCACTAGGAGGGTTGGCCCATATGGATGCCCCCTCCCCTCTGCAGATCTGCCCACTTCCTCCTTGGGACTTCTGCTGGCCGTAGACCCTGCAGTCCATTCCTGCACCAGTTTGCGTCTACTCATTTATTCTCCTTCTGGAGAACCTCCTGATACGCAGTCAGTTTTGTATTTCCTTTTTTTTTTCCTTTGAGATGGAGTCTTGCTCTGTTGTCCAGGCTGGAGTGCAGTGGCGCGATCTCGGCTCACTGCAACTTCCACCTCCCAGGTTCAAGTGATTCTCCTGCCTCAGCCTCCTGAGTAGCTGGGATTACAGGCATGGGCCACCACGCCTGGCTAATTTTTGTATTTTTAGTAGAGATGGGGTTTCATCATGTTGGCCAGGCTGGTCTTGAACATCTTATCTCAGGTGATCCACCTCCCTTGGCCTCCCAAAGTGCTGTGATGACAGGCTTGAGCCACCGATCCCAGCCTTGACCTTTCCAGAGTTAGTATTTCATCAAACCATTTGACAAAACTCAATTCTGTCTTTTAAAATATGTCAGGTATTTTTTTCCCATTAGAGCATAGAATGGTGATTATCAAGGTGGGCTCTGGAAGTCACCTGCCTGGGTTCACAACAATCCATCTGTGGAGCCTTGAACAAAATATTGAACTTCTCTGTGTCTTGGTTCCTCATGCCCAAAATAGTAGTAATTCGAGTCTATCGTGGTAGACAGAATAAATGCTCCACAAAGATGTCCTCATCCCTGGATCCCGTGGATCTGTTACCTTCTGCGGCAAAACGGATTTTGCAGGTGTGATTAAATGAACCACCTTGAGATGGAGAGATTATTTTGGATGACCACGATGGGCCCAATTTAATCACTTGACCCCTTAATTTAGAAATAGTGATGAACACATCAGTCAGACTCAACCAAACCAAACTAATGAGAAATGAAAAGCACCAGGAAAAATAAGAAAATTAAGAAAATGAGGATATGAGGATGCGACATGAGCCATCAATGGCAGGAGTAAGTTGTACGGAAATGTGAATGTTTAACGTCGTTGGAAATGAAACCAGTGGATACATCAGCAGTAGGAACAAATAATTTATAGCATTTTCTTTACTCACTTTTGCCCCAAAATATCCATCTATTCAATGATATCAAAAGGAGAAGCCTGTCAAAATCTGAGAGATGTATCTGTGTAAGTCAGTTGAGCCTCCTGATAAGAAGTCCTGTAGAGATCCCATGTGTTATTTGCTGCCAGGGAAAAAAATGGCGAGGTCAATGCAGAAAGGCTGAGCATTGGAAACCCGTGTTTCTCAGAGTCCTGGTTGCACTGGTCGGCCCTGTGACCGTTCTGGAAACCACACAAGCACGCATAGACAAGGGGGACACAGAGGTTCCCTGAGTGCTGGGAAAAGTGTTTCTCTGTCGACATGAAACTGTATTTCTAAAGAAGGCTGAAGAATGTGCTTCCTTAAAACAATTTGCTTCTTGCCATGTTTTTACCTACGTCTCTATGATCGTCCCTGGTATCACACCAAATCATCCCACACACCATAAGCACCCGCAGCAGGCACCAAGCCCCAACCTGCAGCTGCTCTGCAGACGAGCTTCAGACAGGAGTTCAGGAAGCTGCGGTCTAGATTATGTGTGGCTGACACTTCTGCCTCACACGACACGCTGTTGGAGTTTCTCCCTAGGTGTCGAGCCTGAGAGATGATCAAAATCTGCCAAGAAACAGTTTATCTATCCTGCCCAGACAGATAAAGGCTTTGTCAACGTCCCTTGGATGGTTTAATCAGATGTCTTTGAATGTGCAAGAGAGAATAAAATCTGCCTAATAAACATGTCTCGCTTAAAAACTCTGTAATAGCTCAATATTTGTTTCCTTTTCTTCCTTGGACTTTTTAAAATGCCTTTGAAAGCCTCTGTTTGAAGCGAGGATGCTGAAGTTTCCCGGCTCAGCGTGGGCCGCAGATGAGAGCAGAAGCCACTCTGCTGAGCCCACTCTCCTCTTTGGCCTGAGAGATAAGGCTCCATGGAAAGCCGCAAGCCAGCCTGAAATCTAAGAAGACGTGCAACTCAGAAGTGCCAGGCTAGGCTTCAGGAATGCTCTTAGGTTATTCATACGAAGACACAAAGATACAAAGAGTCCTCCTTATTCAGAAGGAATTTGGATGCATCAGTGTCACGAACAAACCAGTCCACGACCACGGCCACAAGGAAGCAGAGTGGACAGAAGATTTTTCCAAGGGATAGAGTGCTCCAGACGCTGGATATTTTGAAACCCAGAAAATCTTTTTTTTTTTTTTTTTTTGAGACAGAGTCTTGCTCTGTCACCCAGGCTTATCCTCCCTTAGTAGCTGGGATTACAGGCGCCCATCACCACATCTGGCTAATTTTTTGTATTTTTAGTAGAGACGGGGTTTCACCATGTTGGTCAGGCTGGTCTCAAACTCCTGACCTCATGATCTACCCCCCTCGGTCTCCCAGGCATAAGCCACCACACCTGGCCCAAAAATTATCATTTCTATGGTTTGCTTGTGTCCTTTTTCAAAAACCATAACCCCTCCTTCTTTAAAAAGAAGGTGAGTATTTTAAGGAAACTTCTTGAAGGTTAGAAGTGTCACAGAGTGCTTATAGCCTTTTTTCACCGACAAAAAAAAACCACACACATGAGGTTGCAGTGAGCAGAGATCGTGCCACTGCACTTCAGCCTGGGAGACAGAGGGAGACCTTGTCTCAAAAAAAAAAAAGAAAAGAAACTGCCCACATTGTGCATGGAAACGTGTGGCTGTCTCGCTGTTCACACTCATGTCCACAGGATCTCGGTGTTGGTCTGGAAGGCAATTGTGTGTGGCTGTTACACACAGGACCCTGTTTGTGGAGGCCACCACAAAAATATTTCTTTCTTAAACAAGTGTCCTTCGGGGCTAGCCATCAAGACGGAGAGGAGGCCGGGATATTTCACTGCATCCCGTGGACTTGCTGCACTTAGGACTTAGGTCCTGTGTGCCCTGAGCCCCTCATTGGTACAAGGGAAACACCTCCCAAGACTTCAGGGAGCAGCAGGTGGAATAATGAACGCAAACTCTCCAGCCAAGGCCTGGCTCCTGCGTGACTTCACTCTGAAAGTGGGATATCCATGTTTGCAATGTTTCTGTCCTTCACACACTTTCACAGGCCCAAAAGGGGGCCAGTTTCTCTAATATCTCATCTGAAATGATCTCTACCTTCCCTGGCTCAGATGACCTGAATAACTTCTTCTGCCACTGTTTTGCTTTGTTTTGTTTTGTTTTTTGATTTACAATGACTTTTGGTACATTTTTTGCATTGATTCACAAATCTCACAAATCTCCTTCTAAAACAACATTCCCTGGGAAAGGACACATTTATGAGATACTACCCTAGGCCACAATGACTCACGCCAACAACCTGAAATTAATTGGCCTCTGTACATCTTTTTAATGTCATGCTTCTGCTCATTTGTGGATCTCTGCTTTGTACAATCGAAGCTGACCACCCCACCATCCACACACACAGGAAGGAGCTCTGTGAGTGTATTCCCTTAATTGTACACACTGATTTTAAAACATGAATGCTTTTGCATAAAACGGCACAGACTTCTTGGCAGGGACTGTGCACTCCAGGTCTCAGCACCTGACCTCACACCTCCTCCCCTTGTCCTCTCCCCCTGGGAGGCTCTGAGATGTGATGCCTATTTTCCTTTTTTATGCCTAGAAGAGACTGTGGGATGTAGCACATAGTTCCAATGCCAGTGAGGCATAGGCAGGTGCCACATGGGAGATTCTAGGGCATTTTTCTTTTCTGATAAAGGTCAGTAAGATTGGCACCATCCCTCTCACTTCTGTCTTGAGTGTGGACAGGTGTCCTGGACAGGTAGGTGTCTGGATGCCACGAAGCACCAGGAAAGCACACCAAGTAGGGAGCGGGAGGCAGGAGGGCCCAGGGTATTCCTGGGGGAGCCCTACACAGTCCTGTTCTTATTTCAGCATCCCCCACACTTCCTGTTACCTGTGCTGTCTGCAGAAGCTCTCACTGTCAGGTGTATTGCAGAAGCTCTGCCCAACAGGTATTTTGTTGTGTGCAGCCCGTGCATCCTGAGCAGAAACAATGGCATTCAGTTATCAAGCAGGTGAGTCACCTCTTATTGGCCTAGAGGACATTTAGCAGTTTGTGCCTATTAGCAAGTTCATTCTGCATTCCGACTGCCTATGCGTACCTTGTGCTCCACGTGTGCTATTGAACGAGTTGATATCTTATGCTTCTCTCATTTATTGATGAGTTAAACACATTCTTTGACATGTGTTGATTTTATTTTTACATGGAAGTCATATACCTCTAGGCTACCCTGTCACTCCGCACGCGTTTGGCCATAGAGTCTCTGTTTTTCAATTAATCTCTGCACTCCCCTGTACCTCAGGGCATGAAGCACAGCATCTCCCTTCAGAGCCTTTTCTCTCTGTGTTAGTTAGGGCTCTCCAGAGAAACAAAAACAATGACATAAAGAGATAAATGGGTAGACAGACAGACAGACAGACAGGAAGAACATCGGTTCTAACTTTCCTGTTCCACCCCCAATAAATGTGTTCTTTGTATATATGGCCATATATCCATAGATTTTATATCCATCCTTCTTGATCTTTATTTGCAAACCATGGAGTCTGGTTATGGGGTAGCTTGAATTTGGGTTGCTAATATTTTTGTGAATGTAGAGACTCACTTCCTGACTAAGCACACCTGATCACTCGGACAGCAGAGGAAGCGGAACTAACCCCAGTGATGTTGTTCATTCTTTTCTTTGCTGCTTGAGGTGGATTCAGAGCTGGAAGGTGCTGCCAGGACAGGGAATTATTTGGTCTCCCCGCAGACATCACCTCCCAAGAGAAGGCTTCCCCACAAACCTTCCCAGCCACTCTCCTCTCACCCTATTTATTTTTCTTCTTATAATTTATCTGCTTAGGAAGGTGTGGCTTTATTTATTTGTCTGTAATCCTCTTATAAACTCCACAGAGAGAAGCTTTGTGCTGGTCCAAGCTATATCTCCAGTGTCCAGAAACATACCTGGCCTAAAAAAAACATATATTTGTTGACATAATGAAGAAACGAGTTTATCCCCTCAGT
Source organism: Homo sapiens (assembly GCF_000001405.40). Taxonomy (NCBI): domain Eukaryota; kingdom Metazoa; phylum Chordata; class Mammalia; order Primates; family Hominidae; genus Homo; species Homo sapiens. The sequence goes on from NC_000010.11 coordinate 2,912,575, forward strand.
TCTTTTATTCTGCCTAAGACGTCAAAGGATGGGGTTCTTGCCTGTCCTCTGCCCTGCCCTATCCCTGCTAGATGTGTCCCATTTGTGCCTTCCCAGCGTACTTCTGATGGAGAGATGGCTTGTAGCCTGCCAGGTAAGTCACAGGTGTGAGATTAGATGGAATCAGCAAAAGGGATTTGTCCTGGGAAGCTCCACTCTGCAGCATCCAGGAGGGCCAGTCAGCCTCCAGTCAGAAAACAGAATCCATTCTAGGAATTCCAAAGGAGAATTGAATACAGGGCATTGGCTATCGGGGTCATGTACAAGTGGAGAAGCCAAACAGCAGGGTGGTAACCCAGATGTTAGCCAGTTCACAAAGGCTTTACCACCCTGGGGATGGACGAGACGGAGGGAGGCAGGTGTGTTCTCAGGGTCCTGGAGCGGAAGCCTCAGTGGTTCTTCCAGATGGGGCCACATTCACAGTCTGGGGCCAAGGGGAGGCGTTGCCCAATGAAGAAGAGAGGAGGAACACCCTTTCAACTCCCCAGAAGTTCAACCCAAAAGGCGCCAGGAAAACAGAGCTCCCTGTAATTACCAAATTACATCTCTGGGGCAGAGATGACCAGGGAGCCGATCTGAAAGCAAACCACGCAGGCACCTGCATGCAGGGCAGGGGACCCAGAACACCAGGCAGGCACCTGCACGCGGGACAGGGGACCCGGAACACCAGGCAGGCACCTGCACGCGGGACAGGGGACCCAGCACCGCAGTCATCTGATGGAGGAGGGCCACAGACTACAGGGCCACAGGGAAGGCAGAAAGGGAGGAGAACACGAAGCCTGGGCAGGGGAAATCTTCCCACCACCCACATGAGGCAACACTGGCAGAGTACGGGGTACCTCTTCCTCCCGGGTCTCAGGAGCATTCCCTTAGGCCCGGAGCTCTTTCTGGGAATGAAGTGAGCTTCCAAAGGACCTCAGCCAGGAGAGGCAGGACTCGAGATCCTGACCGGCCAGCCCCTCCTCGGACCTCATGGCAGTTGCCTGCAAAGCCCAGCCCTTTCCAAGAAAAAGTCCAGCTCCAACTGAGGAAGGCAGAGTAGGAAGGAAAGCAAAGGGAAGCTTCTTACAGCCCCACACCACAGAAATGCAGCTCTCAACAATAATTTACATGGAAAAGTTTAAACCAGGAGAGTAAACATTAACTGAAGAGGGGGAATGCCTGCCAGCAGCATAACTCCAGGCTTGGTTGCTAGCTTTGAACTGATGAAAACATCCCATGCTTTAGTCTAATTGATAAAGACAAAAAAAGAAAACTAAAAGTCCAGAGAATAAATATTAGCCAGGAATATTAATTGTACATTTGTGAAATAATTTCTAAATGGAAAGGTATTTGCAATGCGTAAAAAGTAAACAAAAATGTAAATCTTTAAAAAAAAAAAAAAAAGAGTGGTATTTCAGTAAGACCCAAGATCCTGGTATATGTTATGGTTATAAAAGTCTGGAGATCAAGTCCATATGGGCAAGTTTAAGAAATTAAATTTTGTAATCTATGTTGTTCTAAACAAAGAAATAAATAGTGACTAATCTGCTTTTTTCTGGGTTAGAAGATTAATGGCCCAGCCAGGAGATTAAATTCTGAGAGGCCAGAAAAAGGTATTAATAGCCATTTTGAGGTGAAAAGCATCAAAGTCAAGAGTCAAGACTGGTCTAAGATTCAAATAAAGTGAGAACATGAAATAATATTGTTACTGTATATTGCTGTTGCTATAATTGCAGCTTGTTTATAGGGATTGGTCAGTGGGCAGTAGTTGTTCTTATGGAAAAATTGTGTTAGAGGAAAAAATAATCATCGTAGAAGTCAAATATCCTGTCTTCTATTCCTACTTGTACACGTTCACTTTTATGTGGTAATTATCTCCCTGATTTCAAAAATAGAGCGAACCTTCATTCAACCAAAAGTAATTAACTTGGCTCAGTTTAGAGCTACATTGAGCTTTGCCTTTCTTAGCAAGAACTTTGTTTCACATAGAGCCTGATGAATGATGAAATTCACCAAAGACAAGGTTTAAAGAACTTAAAGAGAAAATGTTTTGCAAGTATCTTGAAGTATTACAGAGCAATTGATGTGTACAGATATCTTTGAAATCCTTATCAATATCAGCCTTCTCATCTTATCAGAGCAGATCCCCAGATCCATCATTTCTGGGACCACATCGTGTAAGCTTCCTGTAGGTTGTGACACGCACTTGAAAATAATAAGGCAGCTGGAAAAATAAACAAAGTAGCATTTCCTAATTCAGACTAGTCTTTTCCCACCTTATTGCAGATTAATAAAATCCTACTGTGTGAGTCATATGAGAAGAAGTTCATCTTTATTCATTCAGTATTAACAAGTGCTTGTGGAGCTAGTGAGCTCACACTCATGGAAGGAACCTGGAAGCTGGCGCCTCTCAAGAAGGAAAGGAAGCATGGCTGTTGGGTACACACCGTAACCATTTCCTTATCCATAAATAAGAATAACAGTGAAATTGGTTGCCCATGGATCGACAGGCATTGTCTTTAAGGAACAAGGGTAACAGCAGAGAATGCACACGTGAGGCCATGACATGATATAACGACGCCATGGACGGAGACCTCTCTACCCCTCTACCCCTCGACCCCTCAACCCCTCGACCCCTCTACCCCTCTACTCCTCTACTCCCACCTCTGGTGGGCTGGGTGAATCCTAACGTGCCAGGCAGGGACAGCCCTGCAGGAGACAGGAGGCAGTTCCAGCACCTCTCCCTCTCCGTGCTCCCACGCAGACCACCTTTGCTTTCAGATCAGCGCCCTGGTCTTCTCTGCCTCACTCTGAAATTACAGGGAGCTCTGTTTTCCTGTTCTCCTCTCGGGAAAACACTGGAAGGTTGGAATCCCTGGAGGAGGTGGGGGATCCCTGAATGTAGCGGCGGCTGTTCCGAGGGCATGGCGCTTCATCCTCCAGCAGGTGGGCTCCGGGTGGGAGTGCTGCCCGCTTCCCAGCTGGGAGGAAGCCTCCCCCGGCAGCGCTCCTTGTGTGTCTAGGAGTCCTGGCCTCACTAGTTAATACCACTGCTTGGAAGGTTGCCAAGGAAGTCAACCTACTGGTGAGGACCACAGATGATGGAGACCAAGCGGCCTTAGGAGAAACTGAGTCCTGCATGCAGCAGCCACGTGGCCCTGGGCACCATCTGTGGCCCTTGGCACCATCCATGGCCCTGGGCACCATCCATGGCCCTGGGCACCACCCGACGTCCCTCTCCCTGCCAATGGCCTCTCCAGCTCTCTCTACACACCTGCCTTGTACTCTTGGGGCCTGGAAGTGTCCTGATATCATGCTCCCTCTGCCATGCCCCTCATTCGCTCTTTCCACAGGAACAGACAGGAAGTGTGTGCATGGAGCACTTCCTGTCTGCTCCACACTAAGGAAGAAGCAGGCGGCTGCATTGGCATGCTCCCTGCCCTCGTGTGGCTCAGCCATCCTCCTGCCTGCTGGGTCCTCGCCCAGTAGGGGCACCCCCGTTCTTCATTGCTCAGCTCAGTCCCCACTGACTCAGGGAAGCTTCCTATGGCTGCCCTGCAGGGCAGGCCTCCATCCCTGTCTCCACTTCTGGTTACTTACTCGCCTGATGCATTGGTCCACATTGGCCTGCCCACCTAGACCTAAGTCCAAGACCAAGAACCAGGAGGCAGGACCACAGCCCCCACGTTAGATAGAACCTGAACCAGCCCCCAGTGGAGCCCAGAGGTGTGTGATAAATACTTGCAGAATAATTGAAATCTAATGTGTATGGATTCTTTTTTTCGAGGTGGATATTTACCTCTGAAATGGGAACTTACAGTACTTTTTCTGGTAAATAATAAAACATTCTTTTCTAATAACAGTAAGCATATGTATGTTTGTATTTTTAAAAATATTAGTTAATATCAAAATTAGTTGCTCAGTGCCCTTGAGAGAGACTTTGGGGCATAGACAGACTGATTGCTGTTCCTTGTTTTTGCTATTTTATTAACATTCAGTGGTTACGTTATCAAATACAAAAATGTTACTTCTTCTGTTGTTAGGTTTATGTCATTTTATTCTATATATAAACATGGTAAATTTTAGCACTTACTATGGGGCTTCCAATACTCTATTAATTAATGCTTGTAAATATTTCACACTGTATTTATGAATTTAATTTACTATGGTTTCCTTATATTCACTTCAATGGTCTCACTTTTAAACAAAAACTTTACACATATTTACCATCTCAAGTAAATGTAATAAACTTCAAAACAAATTAATAAAGTCATTCTCAAGTTCTGTTAAACAATCCAGTCCTGTGTACAAGTGTTAATAAATTAATTTATGCCTTTCCATTTAAAGTTGCAAGTTTAAATTTAACTATGCAATTCATCTGGAATCATGAGGCTATCCCTTGGATGCTCTGTGTATCAGATTCTCTTAAATATTACAATTACTTAAAATACAAAATATAAACAAATTGTTTCTAAAAACCAAGAAGTGTGGATTCTATGGGTCTGATTTATTTTATTCTCTCTTTTCTCAATTCTAAGCCTTTCAAAGAATAAAGTCACACACCCATTAATAAAGAAACTACAGCAGGCGAAACAAATCAAGCCGCCCTCTGTGACACGGAAGGCCCTATGATCTATTTCTTCCACCTCTTCTAATACCAAGTGTGTGGTTTATCTCTCACCATGACCAGTTCTCCATATCTCTGGACACCAACTGTGTATTCTACAACTGAATCCAGTTCTAAAATTAGGGCAGACCCCACAGGTCAAGGTCTCAGTCCCATGAGACTGCCCCCACTTCGCCAATGGCAAGTTTCCGGCCTCCCTTGCTTCTGACCGACCACTTAAAAATCAGGGTTCCCACGGCCTTCTACTCGAGGTCAATAACTTGCCAGAATGGCGCATGGCACCCAGGGCAACACCTTTACCTACTATTACCAGTGCGTTATGAAGGACCTGTGAACAGCCAGATGAAGAGATGCATTGCTCCAGGCCTGGGTGACAGGGGGTGGGGGGGTTCCAAATGCAGGTGCTTCTGTCCCTGGGGAGTCAGGATGCTGCCCTTCCAGAACGTCAAGCTTTTCCCCAACCTGCAAGCTCTCCAACCTCCACCATTTAGGGTTTTACAGAGGTGTCACTATAGACGTGGTTGATTACATCCTTGGCCATTGGGGATTGGCTCCTCTCCAGCCCTCTCCCTCCTCCATATCAGAAGTTGGATTGGAGACTGAGAGCTCCAACCCTCTGGTGCTGCCTTGGTCTTTCTGAACCCCAGACCCACCCTGAAGCTGGCTAGGGGTCCCCAGCTCCCAGTCCTGTCCTGAATACACAAAAGCCACTCTGACCACTCTAGAGATTCCAAGGGTCTTAGAAGCTCTGTGCCCAGAATCAGATGAAGACCAAAAATCTACGTCTCCTTGGATGGCACAGTCACAAGCTATCATCAGCTGTCGGTCTGGGGCAGGTATGCGGACACCCTGGAGAGCTTTGCTGTGGCCCTGTTGCTGGGAACCTTTGTTTGTTTTCAATCCTTGCTGGGCCAACAGACGCCCTCCGGCCATTCCCCACGCTGGTTGAATTTACAGTCTTCTCCGTGTGATTCCATTGTTCTGGCCCAGTTCTTCTGAAGCCTCTTTCAACACCGTTGCCTCGCCTGGGTGCTGAGATCCTGTGACCCTCACCCAGCAGGAGATACAGATGCCAGGATCCGGCTAACCTAGTTACAGTTGGATTGTGAAGAAGCCAGCCATAAGCCTTCCCTTCCTAGGTCTCTTTAATGATGGAAATGTGATGTTTTAGGGTTTTTTATTTTTATTTCATTTTAGGTCGATACAAGTGACATAGAAATTTGAGTTAGGCAGTTCCCTCACCAGGCACCTGCCTCTTCTGGATAAATCCCGGAATGAAAAGGAAGGATGAGCCTGTTTCCTTCTCCATTCCCAAATGACTTCTTCATTGGGAGTTAATGAGTTTCAAAAAAGAAAACATTTCTTCCTCACCCACTAAGAAATTCACAGCAGCCAGGCACTGAATAACCTCCTCAATAATCTCTAGGAAGGGAGTGCTGAGCACTCAGTGGCTTCCAGAAGTTCCCTGCTGGGGCTTTATTTTACATTTTACAAATAAATAGATGGTTCTCAAAAAGCTCACATTTAGTGTTAAAATTCATCACATTGGTGTTTTGAAAACATGCCCAGCTGTGCACTTTATAGCTTTTCTCTTACTCAATCTTGTAAGAGTAACTCTTGTTCTGAGTAGTTAAAAAAAAAATACACACACACACACACACACACACACACACACACGCTGGGGTAACAGGACCTAAATTAAAAGTTTTATTCTGCTTTTCATTTAAACTGAGTGAAACTTATCTCTTTGGCCTCAGTCTCCTCATCTGTAAAACGATGGGCTTGGGTTCAGTGAACCTGAGGCTTCTTCCTTCTAAAAAACTCACAAGTCAATGGGCTGGTCAGGGAGAGCAAAAAGAACTCAGGACCAATTACTTTTTATCAGGACCATTGTCAGTGGAAAGTGCAGAGGTTGGAATTTTTCCTTCCAAATCATTTACTTTGCTGTAGCAATATTTATGAAAAACTGACCTGAACTTCCTGAGATAAGAAAAAATGTGAACTTGCAGGTGACCAAAATGGAATATTGCAAGGGAAATATGCCGTGAAAATGATGCTGAGATTGCTATTCCGATGGAAATGTAGTAAAGTTTCCCTTATCCTGGGGAAACCATTTAAGGTTGAACAACAGCATAAAAATGAGGATTTTTTCAAGGATGCACTGCTACATTTCCCAGGCTTGCTTAGACAACCAAAGGTTGAAGAGGTTTGTGAGGTCCCCTGGTACCACAAGGCACATTCAAAGAAGACCTATTTCTCCATGAAGTTGTAAGAGAAAAGAAACTTGGGTTTGTCAATAACAGTCAACAGCACAGGCCAAGTGTCACTATGCTCTGAGCACAGTTGTGAGCGTGTTTGAGGCATTATATCATGATTTCTGTGTCATCATTCCTATGTCAAAGACAGGGAAACTGGGTCCAGAGAGGTGAAGTCATTCACCGACACACAAACTCAGTAACTGATGAATTTGGGAGTTGAACGCAAGCCACCAACGTCTGAGCCCACTTTGTAAACAATACCCTCTGCTCTCTGCCCCTTAGGGAGGATTTGTGTCCTCTGTTGGAGCCTTTCTCAAAATGATCCTTTTAAGTCAGACCTTCCCTCTTCACTAAAGGCAGATGCGTCCTTGAAGACAGATGCTGTTTAACATCATGAGAAGAGTTCACATCTAGAAGGCTGTCTACATTTCTATTACAAAATTCTGTTTTACCCCAGGCATATTTGGAGAAAAATTCTTTGGCTTAAAATTCTTTGACAGGCTATCTAGGGCAAAGGAACATGTAGAAGGAAAGTTCACAAATGAACAAATAAAGAAATAGCTTCTAACATATTCCCTAGCAGCAACTGCGCTAAGAGAAAAAAAAAAAAAAAAAACAAAAAGGATCAAATATTTTAACCAACACTGAATGAAGTTATTTGACACACACTTTCTAGTAGAAAAGGCATGGAGAAGACCTGTAAACCAAATCTCCTAGACACAACACTTAGCCAAATGTACCAATCTCTCCTTACTCGTGAGGGTAGGAGACTATATTTTAAGAAGAAAAATAGTTATGTTCTCATGTAAAGTGAGGGGGAAATGAGATGTCTGTGTGACATTCCACCCACACACCCACAGCCACCCTTCCGAGATTGCTTTGGTAAAACAAGTGACCCTGGTGGGTGGACACACGCCCTGCAGGCCAATGTTTAGGAGCTCTGGGAAGAGCAAGATATCTTACAGCTGTCACCAAATTAAGCTGTTTCTATTTTGATTTACCACCCAAGACTCTGACCTCCTGTTATTTTTAAAAGTATGATAGCAAAAGAGCTTTAAAATGTACTTTTCAAAAACTCTGATTTAAAGTGACTGAACAGCCACAATACTTTTCATCCAGAGAATCTTTGCTTTTCCAGGGAGGGGACCATTCATTTCTTAAGACTCAGAAGAGAGTTTACATAATGGCCAGTGGCCTCTATTCTGCAAATCTGGTTCCTTCAACATTTACGTAACCATATTCCACTCCCGGAGGGCCAGGAGGCATAAACCGGTGCAGGGACTCGCCCTCATGCCCTAGGCTGTCAGAGCCTCCACTGCTCTTGCCTTAGCTCCACGTGTGAATTGCCACCTGCTCCTTATCCTGCCACACCCACCCCTCATCTGACCACACACCCTTGTGAGAACATGCATACTACAGGAAGCTTTTGTGTTAACAGCTCATCAGGACATGGGAACTGTGCACATAAACCAGGCAGCTGCATAGATAGCACTCCATCCTAGGCCACCTGGGGGCCGGTCTCATGGCAACCACACAGCATCAGGTACCATTATAAACACACAAGAAGTCTGTCAATAACTTCTCTTTTTCCGTTACATCTTCACTTTTATTCTATTCTGGGTAGAAACTGTATTTCCCAAAAGGAGCTCAATGAGGCATTCTTTGACAACTATTCAGGACATTTTTGGTGGTTTTACCTAAGCTGTCGGTATCCAAAACATGACTGTGCTGTGGAAAACTATCACCCATCTAGCAAGTGCACCCGTAGAGCTGGGAAAGGGAGAAAAGGCAACTTTGGGGGAAAGTTTTATCTTGCTTGAGAACAAGATCATCCAGTAGAGCTGTGGGACCCACTCTGGAATAAGAGCGATAGATTCAGCAAGGTGAGTGTCATCCAAAGATAGGTGGTCCATGGAGGATCTGGTCACACTTTGGAGAACTTGAACTTTATGGAGAAATTTGGGGGCTCTGAGTGGGAGACTGCAGGGAATGGGCAGGGCTGGCAGAGCCAGAGACAGAAGTTACACCTGTGATTCTAGGGCAGTGAGTGCCACCCCAAAGATGGGAAAAGATGATGTGATTTCCAAACATACTCTTAGGATATCTGAACTGGATCCTCATGCCCTCTGGCCTCTATACCATTTCTGTGAACCCAGCGTTGGGCTGCCTGTGGAGTAATGAAGTGGACAATGAGGGTGACAGCACTGTGACACCTTATCAGCCTTTATCTGTAGCAGCAGAAGAGCAGTTGTCAAGTCTACATGTCCGTATTGTCCCATGAAGCTTGAGTGTGTGTGTGTGTGTGTGTGTGTGTGTCCAAACTCCACAACACACCTGTAAAAACAGAACTCCCAGGTGGTATCTGGCCACCCATCTTCATAAATCCCCACGGACAATTCTGGCGCATGGCCAGGGTCAAAGAGCAATGCTACCTTGGAGCTACAGGAATGCACTCGGCGTGTGTGATGCCAGTGGTTTAAGTGGGTGGGAGCAGAGTGACATAAATGACTGGATGCTCAGGGGTGGTACAGGACAAGAAGGGGCACCCGCAGCCACACCTGGAGAACGAGGAGCAGGCGGCTGACACCAGCAGGTGGGCACGGCGTGCTCTGCTCCTGGAGTCGACCCCTCACCTGCCCTGTGGGTGAGCACCTGCTTGTGGGTCTCTCATTGGTGCTGTGGGTGACTCAGGACTGAATCACTGTCCAAGCAAGAAACGCTGAGTGTGGTCAGCCTTGCGCTGATGTTCGAGTCTTGCATTTCCTGAACAATCACAGAAGCAGCAACCATCTTCTCAGCAGCTGTTCATCTTACTTGTGGCATTATATTTAAGGGGCATTTTTTAAAGCTGGGAAAGTGAAAGGAGACACATTTTAGGTGAGAAGCAGTTTACCTGGCAATTACTGAAGAAAAACAGTTTAGAAGCCAAAGCCGGCGCTGACTTCTGACTGCCGGCTCTGCAAGCCCAGGCGCTGGCTCTTGAGTGTGTCCCAAGTACCCTCTTCCGGCAGGAATGGGCATCGCCCAAGGACGTTTCCAGGGCGGCCCTCTTCTGGGGGGGTTTCCACGTCGCTCCATCCCTCTGTGGTCTGAGTTCCAGGGCTGTGCTGGAACGCGAGGCGAGCCCGGGGCTGGCTGCCGGGTTAACAAGAGAACGCGGCAAAACAAAAAAACCATCTGTTCAGTTGTTCTAAATTAGGCAATTTTGCAAGAAAATTGAGCAAATTATCAGTTCGATACCGCAATCACCAAAAATAACTAAATTCTGTCTTCTCTTCTTCCTATGTCAAATCCTTTTAATTTATCAGAAAAAGGAAAGGAGACATTCACAACTTTTAATTACCGAGACTCTGCGGGTTTGCTTCCTCACTAAGGAGCGGTGAGGCATTGAAAGTCGAGAGGCAGGCCGGGCGCAGTGGCTCCCGTCTGTAATTCCGGCGCTTTGGGAAGCCGATGGGGGTGGATCGCGAGGTCAAGAGATGGAGACCATCTTGGCCAACATGGTAAAACCCAGTCTCTAACTAAAAATACAAAAATTACCCGGCATGGTGGCACGCACCTGTAATCCCAGCTACTCGGGAGGCTGAGGCAGGAGAATCCCTTGAACCTGGGAGGCGGAGCTTGCAGTGAGCTGAGATCACACCACTGCACTCCAGCCTGGGTGACAGAGTGAGACTCTGTCTCAAAAAAAAAAAAAAAAAAAAAAGCTGAGAGGCAGCGAGGGTCAAGACTGCAGCCCCTCAAGTGGCTTCCAAAACTCGGCAGTTTCTCAGATTCACCTTAGTCATCTCCACTCTTCGGGTGAGGACATAGCCACTCTGGGTTTCCCTTTCCCCTCACCCCAGATGACTCACACTTTCAGACCCGCAATGCCAGGTCTCCGTAAAGATTTTCTGCAAGGGGAGTGTGGCTCTCACTTTTCTCTTTGCACAGTTTAGAGACTCTGCCCCCTGAAGGAAACACCCTTGGCCATCAAATCTCACTTGTTCCTTTCACGCTGTTTAATCTTCAGACATCCCGAAGAATCAAATCTCATTGACTTAGTAACCCAGGATATGGCATGCACAAGGGTTCCCAGTTACACGGTTTGGGGAACTCCTTCGTGGGACCTTGATGTATTTGTGAAAGACGCCAGACCAACGCCTTTGTGGGCAAAGAACCGCGTGTACCCATGGTTGAGTACTGGACAATGCCAGTCAGTAGGCTAAGCCCTTCATAAGCATTGCTACACAGTATCCTCACCGCAGTGTGAACTGAATTCCACCCTTATCCCTGCCTCCCGGATGGACACGTGGAGGCTTCGAGTCGGGGGACATCTTTCCCAGGGCTGAGAAGGAAGGTCTGCCCTCTCTCCCCGAGGTCCTCTGTCTGTGGCCTGCCTCTTTAGTGTGTCTTCAGGACACAGTGCTACCAAAGGGAGGAGCCACATTTTGAACCCAGATTCGCGTGATTCAAAAGCTGCCCTCTGAGCCAGGGCATCAACCTGGGATTTGCTACCCATTCCAATGACCTATCAATCTCATGTTTTGCCCACAGTTCCTGCCAATGAAAAGTGGAAAACAGCAACCCATGAGGTCCTAGACTTTACTGGAAAAACCACAAACGTAAGGAAGCATGTGTCTCCAACATGTGTTAACCCAGAGAGTTCCTTAGTGGTGAAAAGTCGGTCACACAGATTGCTTGGGGGTTTTTGACGCTGAGGAAGCACTGCCGGATTGCTTGTGAGGTCGTTTGGCAGGTCTACCGTGTGAGCAGCTCACAGGCACCATTTTGTTGCAAGTGAAATTGAATTCCTAAGCATTCTAGCATAATCATCTTCTCCACGTCCCTCTTCCTTCAACTGTGGCATTCTGACTTCCAGCCTTGATTAAAAGTGGGGTTTTCAGAGGAAAGTCTTTAATTTTCCCGTGTGTTATTCTGTTCCTACCATAATTTGCACTGTCTATGTTTAAAGGGTTTTCTCATTGAACACGTGCAAGAAACAAAAGTGGTCGGTAGTCGTATTTGTACCAACTGTCAGAGCACAGCCGTCAATTATAAGCAGTTGTTGCGATGGATTTATTCCACCTAATACTCGTGCATGTGTGAGCGAGTGGCTGCAGTGATGGCCATTATCACACCACAGTTATTGTGCTGAGTGGCTGCAGTGATGGCCATTATCACACCACAGTGACTGTGCTGTGTGCAGCAGGCACACCCGTGTTTGGGGCGACACATGTTTCTGACCATCACTGATTAAAGTGTCCTTGGTATCTGACCTCAGTTTCACAGCTGAGACCCAGTTCCTATTCGTGCTTCCAGAAAATTGAAGACCAATTTTGGAGATTCTTGAGATTTCCTATCAGAAACTAATTGATGCCATTCTCCTTTCCAGATGGCAGCTTCTGATAGAGCTGGGCATTCGAGAAAATACAATTTAGGAGCATGGAGACTTTATAAGCAGAAAGAATCATGTGGAGACTGTCAGCTGAGATCATTGGGGACACTGTCCTGATGATCCCAAAGTACCTAAGAACGATGGGCTGATGTCTTCTTTTTGAATATTTTGTTCTGATGACTTTTGTATTTTTAAAGCTAAAAAAGTCAAAAATTATCCTTATCTTGCCAAGTTTCTGAGGCTCAGCGACAAGGCCACACAGAGGTAAAACTGGGCCTCCCAACTCCTGATCCTACTTTGTAGAAACACTGCAGAGCTCTACGCTGGGAGGACCTCTAGAGCCTAACAGAGCAATGTATAACCAGAAAGCTGCAGTCCAGAGAGGATAAGGACTGGCCACAATTATGCGAGAGGTTCTAATAATACTTAAAGTAAAAATCCAGTTCCCCAAATTCCAAACTGGTGTTCTTCTCTTCCATGGTATTAGCATGAAAACATTAGTTTTCAGTAGCAATATTCATGCCCAACGAGATGATTGGTCCTTATTCACACAGGCCCTCCTCTTGGCTTTCGGGGAAAGAAAGATCTTTTGGAAGATGAGTCATTCAAAGCCCTAAGTATTAAGTGCAAAGGACACAAACACTCTAGACTCCAGTTGAAAAGAACTTTAAAATTACTAAACGTCCATGTGAATTCAGTGCGCTTTCAAGAAGAGCTGACGAGTCCTGGGTTCCAGCACCCTCTAGCCCCTTAGCTGCTGGTAGATCTCAGGTGCTGAACTCAGGTTCCTCATCTGTAGATGGGAACTCGTGACTCAACAAGGTATGTAATCGAACTCTGAGACAGAAATGCAGGAGTTCCCACTTCCAACGAAGGATCAACAAGAGAGCTCCTCAGCCCTGACCACAAATCCACCCGAACTCCCAGAAGATTCAGAAACAGCCATAGCGAGGGCTTGCTCTGGGCAAAACCAAGATAAATAGGCTCTCTGAGCTAATGCATCCTGTTCATCAGGAAGTGCCGTGGCTGGCAGGAAGCCCAGTTTGCAAGGGCCCAACTGGCCCAGAACTGTGAGACGGGAGCCAAGGAGACAGAGATCTTGCCCTGGCTCTGCCTCTGATGACCTGGGTGAGGGAGCCACTGGTTCTCTGAGCCTCAGTTTCCTTGCTGTGCACTGAAGTGTCTGCTGAACTCTAAGGGGGTGCGTGTTCTTCGTTTGGAGCAGAACCTCATGCTGCATACATCGATGTTTCTGTCTCAAGGAGCTATGGAGTCACAAAGGCAGGGGACAGCTGAGGGAGGCCTCCCAGGCCTACACATGGTATTGACTGCCTCTGAGCCACTGAAACGAACCTGTTCATTTTACAGCCTGTGGGTACTGCAAAGCCTAAGATTTGTAGTCACGCGAAGTTTCTGATCAGGGTGTCCTCCAGAGTAGAGTGCCCACGACAATTAAATGGACGTTTTGTTTCTTGTATTTTAGGGAACAAAGTGTCAACCAGCTTCCTCGTTTTATCCTCGGTGGAAAAGTCACCTTGGAGCCAGCAGGGTTGTTGCTGCACCTTAGAAATACAACCGCGGGACAACAGCCACAATTACCTAGAAAAGTGGAATGAAATTGCTCTTGAGCAAGTAAAGGGAAAGCAACATGTCCTTTGATGGCTGCTAGAAAGGAGAGGAGAGCAGAGTTAGGTGGATGAAACAGGCTGTGATGGAACCCGCCTGTGCCCATCAGAACAGGTGCCAGCAGGAGCAACTTGGCAGACCCCTGAGCTTGCAGGCTTGGTGGAAGCAGAGTAGCTTCCCTCGGACATGTGTGCCCAGGACCTGGGGGCCATGGTGTACCGCAGGCTGCAGGATCGAGCCTCCACTCGACACCGCCTGTCCATCCTAGGGCACAAATTCTCTCCTGGCTTGTGGTACATAAGCCCACAGGACCTCAGAAGAGTCGTTGCAAAGATGGGGAAGGTGCCATGGTTTATTTTATGTATTGTCTTGACCAGGCTAAGGGGTATACAGGTAGCTGGTAAAGGATGATTTCTTGGGAGGGCGGTGAGGGCATTTCTGGAAGAGGTGAGCATGTGAACCAGTGGACTGAGTGAAAAGGCTCCACCCTCACCCATGTGGGCAACATCAACCTGTCCCCCGAGGGCTTGAATAGACCAGAAAGTGAAGGGAGGGCAGATTTCCTCTGTTTCAGCTGAGACATCCTCTCCTGCCCTGGGACATCTGAGTTCCTGGTTCTCAGGCCTCAGATGCAGACTGGGACTGACATCATCAGCTCTCCCAGGTCTCCAGCGTGCAGGAGGGAACATGTGGGTCTTCCCAGCCTCCACAATCGCATAAGCCAATTCCTCTTAATAAACCTCTTCTATAAATTCCTGTCTGTCTGTCTGTCCATCTATCTATTTATCCCTGTCCGTTATGTATCTATCGGTCTGTCATCTATCTGTCTATCTGTTGTCTATCTGTTGTTTGTCTCTCCATCTGTCTATCTGTTGCTTGTCTCTCCGTCTGTCTATCTGTTGTTTGTCTTTCCATCTGTCTATCTGTCTCTCTATCTGTCATCTGCCTATCCACTTATCTATTTATCTTGTTGCTTCTGTTTCTCTGGAGAACCCTGACTAACACAGAGATAAAAAGGCTCTGAAGGGAGAGGCTGTGCTTCACGCCCTTGAGGTACTGAGAAGTTCAGAGATTAATCGAAAAACAGAGACTATATGGCCAAAGGCATGTCCTGAGTTTGCGGAGTGACAGGGTAGGCTAGATGTATATGACTTCCATGTAAAAATAAATTCAACACATGTCAAAGAGCATGTTTAACTCATCAATAAAGGAGGGAGACATAAGATATCGACTTGTTCAACAGCACACGTGGAGCGCAAGGTGCGCATAGGCGGTTGGAATCTGGAATGAACTTGCTAATAGGCATAAAGCTGCTAAATGTCCTCCAGGCCAATAACAAAATGATGCTTGTGGTTACACTTTCTTATAGAAAGGAAATCAATTGTATCTCTACCAGACAAAATTCATTTGCATTGCTACCGACAAAAACCGTCGGCATTACTGTCCGTCTTCTGCCCATTAGCCTCTCTCCCTGTGCCTCTGTAAAAACAGCCTGGTCAATAGATGGTAAGAGGCCCCACTGAGTGGGGTCCCTGGAGGGCAAGCCCCTGACGCCACTGCAAGGTTCCACCCAAGCCCTCGGCCACGTCCACATTATGGGAGGATCGTTCCTGAGCAGAGCAGATCCCAGTAGTCATGAGCAAAAAAACCTAAACAGCTAAACCCTAGAGCCAGCTGTCAAAGACAGAGGGCCTCCGCCTGGAATTCTTGACCGGAATGTCCACCCAACTGTGACTTTGCAAATTGAAGTGATGAATCCATTCTTGTGAAGCAGACCTCAGAGGAAGGCATCCCAGGTTATGAAAACAGAGGAGAAGCAGGCAGCAGCTTTGGGGTGCAGTGGAAGATGCACACTCGCCTTGTGGGGAGGGAACCGAAAGCTCTCTCACGTCCTGGGGTGAGAAGGAACAGCAGGCAGTTAACAGTTTCAGCTATGGAGAATCCAAGAGGCAACCAGCAGGGGGAGCCAGTGTATCGTCAAAACTCAGGTCTGATCCACGCTGACGACCAACAGGTGCATCTAACCCCCCTGGACCTGCAAAGTCCTCCGAGAAGGCGGACTAGAAATTTTCTCTGATTTGAATCAGCTGCCCTACAGTTCACATCCGGAAACATTAAATCAAGGGAAAACATTTTCTCTGTGAACTGCCTTAAATTGATAGGCCCCAAATCTGCCTTCACCTGGATGTCTGGAGATACCTCTGCTGAGAGGAAGAGGGTTCATTAAACATCTTCCTTCCAACACTGAAGTGAGGAAAACCATGTTCCCAGAAACCACCCAGCACCTCACTCTGAAAAATCCTTTCTCAACTCTCTAGGTATCTCTTTTTGTTCTGTTTAGAAAAATGAAGCATGCTTATTGCGAAGGGAAAAAAAGAAAAGAAAAAAGAAAGAAATGATTCTGAATGGCTTTGGTCTCCCATGATTTCACAAGTTTAGCCAGAGAAGCCATTAATAGCTAGGTCTGGGCTCCTCTTCAATACAGTTTCACTGAAAAAAAAAATGATGTTTCAAATTAGTAATTCATCACACCTGAATTAACACTAAAACGTCCATCAAATTAAAATCATTTTGCAAGATTGGAATTGTTTCTGCAACGCCTGAAGTCCAAAAATGGAGGCATGAGAGTGAATAAGAATCAGGATGTAAATGAATTCCTGACACGTCATTCCAGTCTCTGAATGGGGGGCTGGAGTAGGAATTAAATAATCACACGCAAATTGGATTTCCAAGATCTTTCCAGGCCAGCTACTGTAAGCTGTTTGTTGTTTGGACAGGTCAGTTTTGGGTGAGTTGTGTGCTTTCAGGGAAGCGAGGGGATAGCAGAGTGAGGGGTGGGGAGGAGAGAGGAGAAAGCCCACAGAGGTGCAGCCCCTAAACCAGGCCAGTGCCTTTCCTCCTGTTGGAAGCATAGAATTAAATTTCATTCACAAGCCCAAAGCACTTTCCACAGGTCTTTAAAATGGGATTAGCCTAAAGCAATCAAGTTGGAGAGACTAACCAGCAAACGCTAAAAGTACTCCCACCTGCCTACTCAATGGAACTGTTTGCCAGGGGAAAAAAAAAAAAGTCATCAGATGCATTTTCGTGGCATTGAGCAATGGATTAATGACACATGGAGACATGCAGAGACACTTGGAAGGCTGGCCTGAGCTCTCCGAGAGGCGGTGGTCAGCAGTTTAGGGTCTGAATTGGTATTTACACCATCAATCTCCAGCTGTGCCCAGTGTTCCTGGATGCAGCCTAGTTTTCCTGGCCTGAGAGCTCTCTGAAAAGTAGCCTCATGCATTTTGCATCCTTGAAACGTGAACTCTTTTATGCAGCATCCGATGTGAAGAGAGGCTGTGGAATGCGGGTGAGTGTGTTGGCAAATTTTATGTGTATTTTGTATACAAATAAATTTTTTATCTGTCCGTATAAATATAGGCATTCACAAATGTATGCCACAAATGCAAAATCTCTTCATATGAATGCACATTTTTAAAATGAGTTAAAGGGATGCTATAGAAGGGATACATTTCTCAAAGTTCGTGTGCTGTTAAAAAGAATCTTGAATAGACAGGACAAAATGCCTTCCTGTCAAGCATAAATGGAGGTATCTTAAATTAGCCAGTGAAAATCATTCCTGCTCTGTGTGAGACCTCATTTGGAGTGCGGGCTCCATTTACTGTGGGCTGGCTGATTACAGCAGGGCTGCAGAAATGAGGGGGCAGGAGAAAGAAACCAACTCCTTATACCTCTGTAAGACAATGAAAAAATTATATTAGCTTGCCCCCAAAGAAATCTAGAAAGAAAAGGAAAGAGTTCAACATTTTTAGAATAAGACCGAACAAATGGTTAATGTGCACTGGACGTAAACATAGTGAGTGTTCATTAGACATAAAAATAGTCACTTCTAAAAGATTAGAGATAAAAATATTGGATGATCAATTGTGGGAATCTTGTTTGCCTCTGACTTTTGTTACATTCTTACCTCTTCTGAGGTCCTATTTTTCCTGTGGTATTCATTAATTTGAAATGAACTGATGCTGACATTAATTGAAAAATAAAGGAAAAGAAAACTCTTGAATTATATATTAGCCCATTGATTGTCAAATACTTCCCTGCAGGTGCCATTTACCAATGTATGTTTCTGAATGCACACATGAATATGCGGAGTACTTTTCTCAAAAAAAAAAAAAATTAAAGGAAAGGCTAAAGAAATAAAGGAAGGAAGGAGATTTCTAAATACGGAAGAATAGTGCCTGGACTAGAAGAGTATGTACTGTGTATCTTCATCAAAGCTATACTATTTTACCTGTTTTAATTGACTGTGTGAGTTCATAGGGATCCCAAAACTAACTCCTTAAAAACACGCAGACAGAAAGAGCAAATAAAATGCACATCCAGCCGGGCGCGATGTCTCAGGACTGTAATCCCAGCACTTTGGGAGGCCGAGGCGGGCAGATCACGAGGTCAGGAGATTGAGACCATCCTGGCTAACACAGTGAAACCCCGTCTCTACTAAAAATACAAAAAAATTAGCCGGGAGTGGTGACAGGCACCTATAGTCCCAGCTGCTCGAGAGGCTGAGGCAGTAGAATGGCATGAACCCGGGAGGCAGAGCTTGCAGTGAGCTGAGATTGCACCACTGCACTCCAGCCTGAGCGACACAGCGAGACTCCGTCTCAAAAAAAAAAAAAAAAAAAAAAAAGAAAGTGCTGGAAAATTCCCTGGGTACATATGGGCTCTATCCCTTTGCTATTCTGAGCAAAGCAACTCAACAGAGGCTTCCCAGCACTGTTTCTGGTGCCAGCATCTCCAGGGCCACTGTGGGCCAGGTCTTTGGTCAGACGACACAAATTAAATGAACATTTACTACGCACCAGGCTCTGGTCCACAGTCAGGACATGGAGCAGAGAAGGCAGGGCGCCCACCTTAGAGAGGGTCGCATTTCATGTGCTCACAGGAATACAGACCATAAACCCCTTGATATGGTTCGGCTGTGTCCCCACCCAAATCTCATCTTCAAGTGTCATAATCCTCACATGTCATAGGAGGGACCCAATGGGAGGTACTTGAGTCATGAGGGAGGGTTTTCCTGTGCTGTTCTCATGGTAGTGAATAACTCTCATGAGATCTGGTGGTTTTATAAAGGGCAGTTCCCCTGCACACAGTCTCTTGCCCGCCACCATGTAAGACGTGCCTTTGCTCCTCCTTCACCTTCTGCCACGATTGTGAGGCCTCCCCAGCTATGTGGAATGTGAGTCCATTGAACCTCTTCTTCTTTGTAAATTACCCAGGCTCAGGCATTTCTTCAGAGCAGTGTGAAAATGACTAATACACACCTATGTCAATAATTAGGAGGACTGCTGGTGCTGAAAGGGGTAACATTTAAGAGTTAGCACTTACATTCTTTACCGAACATTTTTACTATTTAATTATGCTGCTTGTGGAATCAGTTGCTGTTATGTCACTGGGACAAATCATCATGGCCCTGCTTGATCCTCAGCTACTAGTTCAGTGGGGCCTATGGGACCCAGAAAATCACAGTCTCTCCTAGGGATGTAGTAAATTCAGATGGGAATGAGGTTGGGAGATGAAATTTCAGTAACAATAGTTTCCTAAATCTGTGACCAGTAAGAGGAGTCCTTCGGTCTTGACATTACTAACCATGTTGTTTTCGCTATTGGTACTGCCTCGATACATCAGCTAGCTTAAGCAAACAAGCTCACAATCTCAGTGGCTCATAAGACACGTTCATTTCTTGCTCTTGGTCCTTGGTGCTGAGGACTGGCTTCAGGTCTACCTGTCGGATTCTCTTATCAAGGCCTGGCTGAAAGGCCAGCCCCTGGGTCAGCAGGACCACTCTCATGGCAGATCGAAGAATCAAGGCAAGGACTCCAAACCTTCTGCTGGGAGGTGGCACAGGGCACGTCCACTAGGTTCCACTAGCCAAAGATGTCACGTGGCTGCTGGGATGGGAATCAATGGGAGGGAATGTAGATACACATCAACGGGATGGGGACTAGGGACTCTCCTTGTGAGGAGCCATTGGAAGTCACATGTCACCCTGTGGGAATGGGTGATCCCACAGAAGGAGGCCATCACCTAACTGGGAACAGGAGCCCATCTGTCTCGTGAAGCTTATCAGCGTGCTTTCTGTCTAGTATCACAGATTACCACAGGAGAGATGCTGAATCTACCAAAGGGTTGAGACTGTGTCATTTATATATCTTAGCGTGCTCTACAAAGGCATTCCAAACAGCCATTAACCCGGGATGGATGAACTCTTAGTGTCTGTTTCCAAATCAGTGATACAGAACTAGCCTCCACTATTGTCCTCAAAAACACTATTTCGGATTTTATCTCCCTTAAAACTGATCACAAACGATAAATATTTAACAGCACGTCCACTAAACATAAAATTTGCCTTCCCAGAAAATGTGTATTTTATTTTTGTTTCTCTTTTCATTTGTCACAGTATCTTATAGGCATAAAGATTAATGTACACGTAATTCTTATTTTCTATATGAAATTTCTACTTACTATTTTTACATGAAAAGAAAATATGTGACTATTGTCTAAGGGTGTCACACAGCTCTTGGTCAGCAGGATAAAACAGAAACAGCAAGCAGGCCAAACAAGGGATTTAGCCAAGCCCGCTGAATCCTCGGGCCTCTGCAATGTTTTGTATCATTAATTGGCACCGACCTTCTGAGCCAGCTTCCTGCCCTGACCAGCTTTGGCCTCCGGGCCAGCACACCCCATGCATGAGACGTTAGCCGATGTCCAGGACAAGCTGGCTGGCCGAACTGCTAACAGCACATTCAGAGCTCCTGAGTGCCGAAGCCTCGTCCTCAATCCCAGGAACCCTCCCCAGACTGGGTCCATCAGTGAGACCAGGTTTCCATGGAAATTCAGTGGACTCCTTCCAAACACCCAGGTGCCTGATGGTCAGTGCAGGCAGCGAAGCATCAGCACACTGGGGGAAGGACAAGCTGATGAGAGACTCTGAGTTACATGCTTGAATAAGAAAATAAAGAACATAAAAAGATAATATAAAAGGTAAATAAAAATAAAAAGATAAAAAAACATAAAGAATAATGAAATAAAGAAAATTTTAAAAACTCTGAGCCTGTGGGATTCCATGTGAAATTTTTTTGCAGGAAAATTCTGGTGAAGGGATCCTAAAGTGAGGAAAAAGGAAAACATTTATGCTGAGTCATATTTGTAAATTGACCACAGTAATGTAAGAAGATGGGGAGAAAAACAAGCCCAGAATCAAGTGCGACCTGAGATACACAGGAATTCACCAGCGACTAGAGAGGGGATGCCACAGGACTTTGAAATGCAAAACCAAAGAAACAGAATTAGAAACGAAGAGAAGATTCTTCTCAAATCCATTCAGAGGAAATGAGATGGAAGAAAATGGATGAAAACCTTAAGCAAATTTCCAAAGCATAAATGACAGAAAGAAACCCAGGTTTCAGATGCCACAGGAAGTGTTAGAGAAAAAGAAAACAGGTTAAACTCTTAAGAAAAGTTAAGTGTTCCTGAGACGGAAGGACTGGCCACCTGCTCCAAGCACTCTAGGAGGTTCCAGTCCCTGAGGTATATCAGAGCAGGGCTTCCTCAGTCAGTCCCTGAAGTATATCAGAGCAGGGCTTCCTCAGTTTGGGGAAAGAGGAAGTGTGATCCCAACCATGGCCACCATGCACTCATTTAAGAAAAGAGAAAAGACGTCTGGACAGCAGGATTTCCCCTGGACACCGTTAAATTCGGTTTATGGAAAACTCACGGGCGTTTTATTGAAGAGACTAATGGGGATAACGGAGAAGATGACATACTTTCCTGAAAAACTGCAGTGGAAGCAGAAAGAGATGAAAGGAAATTAATCAGTTTTAGAGAAATGGGCCCCACACTGCCAGGACACAGAAGGGCAGCCCCGGTCCCCACAGGATCGTGACAGACAACCACAGCTCCTGCGACTACAGGAATTCTACAAATAGATTTTCACACTTAGAAGAAAATGCCACCCAGGAGTACCCACCCCAATTAATTTTCTCAAAAGTGGTTTTGCGGAGGCTCAGAAGTAAAGTCGGGACACAGGGCGCCAGCCAGCCCCACCTTCCCAAAATCACCTGCCCTGGGGCCACCCACCTGCAACCACACTGTTAGAGATGGGTTTTTATTCTCAGCCGTTTCCAGAGCAAATATTCCCGGAGAAGCATGCATTAGAGTAAGGTGCCTCTTCATAGAGATCCTGGAGAGCGAGGCTTCGGCAAGTGACTGGCCAGGGGCCCCGGGAACTTCCCGGTTGGGGGGCTGGAGTGTAGAGGGGACAGAACCCTAACGGCGGGTGAGTTGAAAATGGAAGAGCGTTCTTCACTTCAGTCTCCTGGGGCCTTTCCCTTCAGGAACTGAAGCGGTGAGGAGGGCCGTGCAGCCTAAGACAGCTGCTACCTGGGCTTTGAGAGCCGACACATCTATCCCCAGAGCCCGGCAGCCCCCAGCCCAACCCACCCTGCAGTAACTGAAGTGCTTCATCCCCACCCAGCGCCAGTCTGGGGTCTGGCGCACACTGTGTACTTGACAAACCTATGCCATACATGGAGTGATGATGTCACTTTCCTACTTCAACTGCCCCCCAAAGTATACCTTCTGGACACTGGAAAAAAGACACCCCTCAGTGTAGCCCCAAGGCCTCTGCTCTCCATGGGCCTCCTGAGTGTGACTGCAGCGTGGCGAGCAGGAAGCCGCGGGCTTCTTGATAAAAGTGTACAACGAAGCCCTGTCTGTGAAAGGCCCCCATCTGTTAGATTTGAAAAACATGTAAAGGCCGTTTGCTTTTCACAATGAGTAGACTTTTAGGAACGTATTCTAAGGAAAGGCAGAAGATATGGGGAAACAAATTCAACAAGAATATTATTTGCAGCAATACAAGGGAGGAAGGGAGGGAGAGAGAGAGAAGAGAGGAAAAGGGGAACAGAGACAGAGAGAAGAGACAGAGACTGACACAGAGAGAGAAGAGAAAGAGAAACAGGGTCAGAAAGAAGAGCAAGAGACAGACAGAGACAGAGAGAGAACCTAGCTCGTTTTCCACTTGCCCTCCTGGGAGAATCCAGCAGGATAATAAAATCCTCAGCACACTCTTGTACTGGGGCAGCCAAGTTTCAAGCCAAAGTTTCCCAACTAAAAATTAACAAATACTAAGCCTGGAGAAGCTGCGCACGTTCTTTTCCAGCTCCTTTTTGCAGCATCAGCAGGTTGGGGAAGGTTGCTGCGTTCACTCAAAAAGTCGAAACTGCAGGAGGACCCGGCTGCAGAGATGGGGGCGGGAGGGCAGATGTTCCCTGGCTCACTGCGCTCACACCCCGGAGAGGGCCAGCGCCTAACGCCGCCTCGACAGGTTCCACGGAGGACACAGGAGAGTCTGCGGCCATGTGAAGAGTAGACCCACGTTTCTGTCGCTCCCTCCCGGGGGAGCTCAGAGCTGCATCCCATGAGTCCTTCCCACTCCCCTCTGTCTCCCCGTCAGCATCTCTGCCAATCTCCCTGAAAGAGCCTGTTGCACCGAGACCAGCAGGGCCACAATATTCGAAATGAAAATTGTAATGATCACTCTTCTGATTGCAAAATCCCAAGAGTCCGAGAAATTCTCTCACTAAAGAAGCGGAGCGGGGCAGGGCGGGGGGCGCTGGACAGAGAGAACCCGCCCTGGCTGTCGCTCTCGGGTGCGAAAAGCTGTGACACCACCTGGCACCGGCGATCAGGGACTCACGCTCGACACCAGAGGAGGCTCGTCCAGGAAGAATAACAAGGAGCCACCGCGGGTCTCTCCCAAGCTTCCAGCTGTCGGGAAACCTTGTCCAATCACCCACCTCGCCACGTCCACCTGCTCACCTGCATTCTGTAGAAGAAGTAACGCATCATTCACATCCCAGCAGGCCAAGCGGGCAGGAAAATGAGGCCAAAAAGTAGAAAACCGTGACCGTAGAAGGCAACGGCACGTGACTGTGCTTTCTGGGTCGTGCATCTTTGTGGCGATAAAAACAGAGTCCTAACTGAGCTGAACACCAGAATGAAAACTAACCTTCCTGCGTGCTTAAGTCGTATGAAGTGTGCTTAGCTGTCTGCAGTGCCTGCCTGTTTGGGCGGTGATTAGTGTAGGTCGCACTTGCTGTACAGGAGGAGGGTAGTAAACTCTGGAGCCGGGCTGGCCGGGTGCAAGTCCCAGCTCCACGGCCAGCCCTGCGATCTCAGACAATTCACCTATGTCCTCTGCCTCTCAGTCTCCTCCTCTGTAAAATGGGGATGATAGTAGTGTCTATCCGAAAGGACTGTGTGAGAATTAAACGACCTTGTAAATGTAAGGGGCTGAGAACAGTATCTGCTCTTGGTGAGCAGAAGGACGACCAGGAGGTGACCAGCAAAATGCCCCATTCAAAGCCTCAACACTGTTCCGTAGTGAGCAAAGACACAGCTCCTGGATGGAGGAAGCCATTAATATTCAATACTGGCAGGCAGAACTCAGATTCCTTCGAATCAGAAATTTGAACTCTGGCCAACGACTGCTGTACTGGTTGAGTAAATCTTAGGGATTTGCTGTTAATGGTAAATTAGTCTACAAAAATAGAAATAGTCCAAAGGATTTTGAGAGGGTGTGGGCTCAGCTGCAACCCCTCCTCCCAAGGCCGTTGGTCAACAACATCTCCAGCCCTGTGGAAAGACAGAAGCAGTGAAGAAAATGTCAGATAAACATTTGGTATGTGTGTACACTTCTCCCAGAAATCCTAAATGCTTTGCATGTTTCAGCTAATAATTCATTAAAATGGATGGATTATGCTGAGCATTTTATAACCTACTTCACTGCTCTCCTGTCTGTCTAAATCCATCCCTTAGTGACAAATTTTTTATACCTGGCTCATTTTTTCTATTGTGTTTGGTGTCTTACCCCCATGTAAAGAATAAAAGCGCATGTTCATGTTGATTTGATTGGTACAGCTAATGCTAATTCTGTCTCTGTTCCTTGAATGTTGACTTGTGATGGTGTCATTTAAGTCTTTTACTTCTTTTTCACCTCGATTCAGCAAAATATTCAATGTTACTTTGAGCAAAGCTTGCTCACTACTGTTACGGAGGATATAAAAGCAAATGGAATATGTTTCCTGCCTTCAGGAGGATTGAAATCTAAAAGTCGGTATGACAGCATGGATGGGAGTCAGCTCAGTTTGCAGCTTTTAAAACATGTTGGAATCTTTCCTCTGCCACTTTTGATGGTGAGACCCTGAGCAAATCATTTCCCAAGCATCAGGCTCTCCGTCTATGACATGGGAGTAAAAACAGCAATCTTGACAAAATTGTGATGATTACAGACGTGTACATAACCTCCTATTTACTTCCTCCCAATAGAAGATATTGTAACTCATCCCATGTGACAGCTGGTGGTGGTCACCCCATCCTGTGAGATTCAAGTATAATTATCTGGAATCCCCCATCTTCAGGTGTGGAAGACCCAGCAGCCCTCACAATGTCTTTTGGAAATTGGATTTTATTTGAAGGGTGAACTTACTCCAGGTTTCTTCTGTTTTCACATATTTTCCTTCCTACGTATCTCCTGGAGTTTTTTCCCTTCTTCCCAATCTATTTTAACCTGATGATAACAGCCAGCTATGTTTTCTAGAATTCCCCTAAATCGACTCATGCCAAATACTGAATACAGTAGATTGGGTGGATTCATTAAATCATGGTAGAGCATCTTAAAGAAAGAAAGTAGACACCCTTGTTCGTAAAGGGTCTTCAGCCATCCCACCCTGGAGAAGGTTGCTGATTGCCTCTTCTCCTCGGACAGTCTTCTCACTATGCATCACTTTTTTTTTTTTTTTTTTTTTTTGAGATGAAGTCTCGCTCTGTCACCCAGGCTGGAGTGCAGTGTCATGATCTTGGCTCACTGCAACCTCCACCTTCTGGGTTCAAGCGATTCTGCTGCCTCAGCCTCCCGAGTAGCTGGACTACAGGCGTGTGCCACCACGCCCAGCTAATTTTTGTATTTTTGGTAGAGACAGGGTTTCACCTTATTGGTCAGGCTGGTCTTGAAGTCTTGACCTCGGGATCCACCCACCTCAGCCTCCCAAAGTGCTGAGATTACAGGCGTGAGCCACCGCGCCCAGCCTGCGTCACTTTTTATGCCTCGCCTTCATCCTTACAGCTTCTCCTTCCTAGTGAGCTCAACTCCCAACCCCGGAGTGAGGGTCACGACTGTCCATCTTCATGCAACACAGCTTAGTTCCTCTTCTTTTCCTCCCCACCATGCCCTATGGGCTGCTTTTCCACAACCAGAATGGAGACCCAGTGAGATCTGCTAAACTAAGACAGTTCTCACCCCTGGGAGAAAAATCTGCTTCCCAGTTCTCAGTCCTGCTAAACTATTGTTAAGATAAAGAAGGACCATGATAAATCCTATTGGCTGAGAGAAGAACACTCTCCAGGTTGCCACAGGATGGGAGAGGAGGTGACAGAATCTGCAGCCATTTGGTAGAATACGTGATATTTGAGTCATTCTGAGGAATACATGAAAATTCTGTAGTCAGATCTTGGAAAATGATATTTCCAGCAGAGGGAGTAATGTAACAAAAAACCCACTCAGAAAACAAATGAGTGTGTGTGGAGAAGAACCATAATGTGATGTGAATGAAGGATTCGGTGTCATGAGTGAGAAATGGCTGACTGAAAGTAGGGAGATGCACATAGGAAAATACCACGGGAAGACTGAACATCATATTAAGTGATTTAGGTGATTCTGCCTGCAGTGCAAATATTTTGGGCTCTAAAGTGAAGTCACCAAAAGGTGTATGTCTGTAGCGGAGGATTGGTCTAGATAGCCTCTCAGATCCCACTCGGCTTTGAGATCCTTGATTCCACGGTCAGACCTGCTGGTCTGGAGGGCAGTTCTGCAGGGTCATGAACGAAGGATTCCAGGAGGCTGGAACAGGAAGGACTTTCAGGTGACCACATCAAGAGATCAAGCAGGGTAAGAAGAGCCTGAACTAGAAGAAATGCAGTGTAACTATGAAGGAGAAAGAGGAAATGGGAAACTGATTAGAAACGACAAGTAGAGAAACAGGGGAATGTGTGATTCCAAGGTTTGGAACAGTATTTGTCAGTTATAGTCCCATAACTTCTTGCATAAATAGTATCTAAGAGTCATTTTAAAAAGAGTAGCAAACCTTCAAGTTCCACTGAAAGACATCAGCATCTCTGTGAATTGGGGAAAGGAGAATGAAGAGGTCTGTTCAACTTTAAGACATGCAAAATGTGAATTGAACTGCATGAGTGACACCAACGATGTGAAGATGTTTAGCAGGAGTTCTTTTTTCTTTTTTTGGTATATGGTATTTAATCGTTCTATCATCATTATCGTCCTTTTAATTTAATGTCTTTGAAACTTTATTCAAAAATCCACTGCATGTATGTAACATATTTGTGAGATTATTACTAGACCCTCTAGGAGGTTTCATTAGCCCAGTTTTCTCTTATTATACCAATACCACACTATCTTGATAGTTAAGGTAAGTCCTCCACCTTTTTTTTTCCAAGTTGTCTTAGCTTTTTTGGGTTCTTTGAATTTCCAGACACGTTTTGGAAACTGCTTGTTCATTTCTACTGAAAAAAAAATAGAATAAAATAAAATCATGCTGGGATTTTGACTGGAATTGCATTAAACCTGTAGATCCACAAGGGCACAATTGACATCTTAACAATATTGAGCCTGCTGATCCATGAACACAGTATATCACTTCATTTATTTAGTTATTTAATTTATCTCAGCGTCACTGCCTGCTTTTCAGTGTATAGATCTTACACATCTTTTGTCAGATTTAGTCTTAAATATTTCATTTTTTGATGTGCTATAAATAATATTGCTTTGTAAATTTCCATTTCCAATTATTTCATGCCAGTGTATAAAGAGATAAATACTGCTTGTGTGTTGATCTTGTATCTTGCAAACTTTCCAAACTCATTTATTAGTAAGTAATTTATTATTATTAGTTTTAGTGGCTTTTTGTGACTTCAGGAGATTTTCCACATAGGTGATTAGGTCACCTGCAGATACAGATAGTTTTAAATCTTATTTTCTAGTAAAGGTGTGTTTTATATATTTCAACTTGCCTTATTGCACTGGCTAGACTCCAAAACAATGCTGAAAAGCAGTAAGGAAAAAAGCCATCTGGTGGGATGGTAAATACAGCCCTTGTTCTTCCATTTTGACCGGAAGCATCCAGTGTGATCATTTTCTCATTTGATTTTTGTGAGGATTTTTAGGGGTTTTTTTTCTTTATTTTTTAAAAATACACTTTATCTTTTAGGCAGTTTTAGGTTTACAGAAAAATTGAGGGAAAGGTACTGAGAGTCCTTTTATATGCCTTCCGTTCCCCCACATGCACAGCCTCCTCCACTAACAACACTCCTGCCCAGAGGGAGCATTAGTAACAATTGAAGAACCTACATTGACATATTGTCACCCAGAGTCCACAGTTTACATGAGGGCTCACTCTTGGTGCTGGTTCTATGGGTGTAACAAATGTATCATGACATGTATCCACCATCATAGCGTCATACAGAGCAGTTGCACTAAAATCCTAAAAATCCTCCATGTTCCACCTGATCATCTCTCCCTCTTCCCAACACCTGGGAACCACTAATATTTTCACTCCATAGTTTGGCCTTCTTCAGAATGTCCTTTAGTTGGAAGCTTACAGTATTTAGTCTTTTCCGATGGGTATCTTTCGTGTAGTCGTATGTGTTTAAAGTTCCTTCATTTCTTTTCATGACTTGATAGCTCATTTCTTTTCGGTGTTAAAGAATATTCCATTGTCTGGATATATCACATTATTTATCCACTCACCTACTGAAGAATATTTTGGTTTCTTGGTTGCCTCCAAGTTTGAGCAATTATGAATAAAGCTGCTATAAAATTAGCAATTATGAATAAAGCTTCTGTAAACGTCCATGTGCAGGTTTTTCTGTGAACACAAGTTTTCAACTCCTTTGGATAAATGCAATTGCTGGATCACATGTTAAGAGTATATCTAGTGCCCATCAATGATAGACTGGATAAACAAAATGTGGCACGTGTACACCATGGAATACTATGCAACCATAAAAAAGAATGAGTTCTTGTCCTTTACAGGGACAGGGATGAAGCTGGTAACCATCATTCTCAGTAAACTAACACAGGAACAGAAAACCAAACACCACATTTTCTCACTCGTGAGTGGGAGGTGAACAATGAGAACACATGGACACAGGGAGGGGAACATCACACACTGGGGCCTGTTGGGGGGTGGCAGCAAGAGGAGGAAGAGCATTAGGACAAATACTTAATGCATGCAGGGCTTAAAACCTAGATGACAGGTTGATAGGTGCAGCAAACCACCATGGCACATGTATACCTGTGTAACAGACCTGCACATGTATCCCAGAACTTAAAGTAAAATTAAAAAATAAAAAAAAGGCTAGGCGCAGTGGCTCACGCCTGTAATCCCAGCACTTTGGGAGGCCGAGGTGGGCGGATCACGAGGTCAGGAGATCGAGACCATCCTGGCTAACACGGTGAAACCCCATCTCTACCAAAAAAATACAAGAAATTAGCCAGGCGTGGTGGCGGGTGCCTGTAGTCCCAGCTACTCGGGAGGCTGAGGCAGGAGAATGGCGTGAACCTGGGAGGCGGAGCTTGCAGTGAGCCGAGATCGCGCCACTGCACTCCAGCCTGGGCGACAGAGCGAGACTCCGTCTCAAAAAGAAAATAATAATAAATAATAATAATAATGATAAATAAAGAGTATATTTAGTTTGGTAAGACAATGTGATAATTTTACAAACACAAAGTATGTCATACTCACTTCCCCACCTCCCTCAAGTGCTTTCAACAGCGTCCCATTGCTGTTATTAAGAGAAAAAAGCATCTACCATAATCTCCCAGCCCCTTCCTGCCTGCCTTCGTTCTTGTCTTGTCTTGCGCCGCTTTCTCTCTTGCTTACTTCCTTGCACGTGCCTGTTTCCTGCTGCAGGAGGCGTTCTGCATGCACCCCCGTCTCTGTTTAGACTGTGGTGTCCCTACACTCTGCCCCCCTGAACAATCAACCTCTGCTTCTCTCCAGATTGCAAGGGGATCATCCCTTCCAGAATGCATCTGTTTTCTACCTCTCATCCCAAGATACACCAAATTCTTTTACAGCATAAACTTACAGAATCCCACTTCCCTTTCTTTGGTGCACTTTCCTCAATTCTTAATCAGAAACCCATCAGAGTGGTTGTTATATTAGTGTCCACGCTCCCTATCAGGCTGCAAGTTCGGGAGAGCAGGGGCCACGTTGGTGAACCATGGTATTTTCAGTGCCTATACATGTGCTTAGAAAATATTTGCCGAATAAGTAAATGGTTCTGCAGTTCCAACCAAAGCTAGAAGCTTGACTTTGGAAGAATGGAAGTAGATAACATCTCCAAAGCAGACCCCATAGTGTGAGAAAAGAAGGGAAGAATGGAGGGGGAGCTGAAGGATGGATATTGGCACAGGAATAGGTGAGAGTTCCAGAAATGCTGGGTTTTCACGTGTTTTTATTTACTTCATATCTGTGTTTCCATCCCGGTGTAGTGTGACTCCCATATCCCTCTCCATTACCACATTTGTTTACTGACAAGGACAGAGGCAGTACGTTGGACACACTGTTAACCAGCATACTTTCTTGGATGTGAAAGAAAATGTAGAGAAAACAAACTAGAAATGGTATCTCAGAAGAAAAAAAAATTCCAAAATATGAGAATAAATGTGGGAAAAAATCAATGTTTAAACACAACTTTCCAACATATTTAGGTATCTCTGTGACCTAAACTTTCATCAGGACTCCCCACACTTCTTTCTTTTTACATTGCTCTGTGTGAGTGTGTGTGTGTGTGTGTGTGTGTGTGTGTTTATGAATTCAACAGAAATCTACAAAAAAACGCTATTGCTAGAATAATGCTGCCACAGGGGAGAAAAATGTAATTTTTTCTTCCACCCATCTTAGCTTCATTGGCTGGGGTTCCTATAACAAAAGGCAGATGAACCCAATAAAAGCAAACAGAGGTTAATTAGCATGTATATCTCATATATATGTGGGAGATAAACAGGGAATGAGGGAATCTCAAAGAGACAGCTCAGAACTTTCATTGATATAACATCTTCGACAAGGATCATAAATGTTTTGAGAAGTGCCAAGACAAAGTAAAAGGACTTTAGGTCACTGGGGGCAGCAAATTGTGGGAAAACCAATAAATGAGAGTTTTTATGTAAATTCCTCTGGTGCTGTCTCCTGAATGATAAGGGTCTGAAGTTGTCTGCGGAGATTGACCTGCATCCTTCCTGGCAGAGAGGGGAGAAAGGGCACTTTTGCCTTTGTATAATATGATTATGTTGTGTATTTTTCAGAAAATAGAGGGAAGGCCAGAGCACTTCTTAATTGCCTTCAGCAAAAATATTTTAGCATGGCGTGTTTTATTCTCTGCACTATTCCTGCTGCAGATATCTCTAAAGGCATCAGATGCATCCACAGCACTACTTGTGGGGAAATATTGAGCAGAACTGGAATCAAATATATAATTCAGCCCC
Organism: Homo sapiens; assembly: GCF_000001405.40. Taxonomy (NCBI): domain Eukaryota; kingdom Metazoa; phylum Chordata; class Mammalia; order Primates; family Hominidae; genus Homo; species Homo sapiens. The sequence goes on from NC_000010.11 coordinate 2,944,113, forward strand.
ATGGAGTCTCTGAGCCACAGGACAGTGAGAACTGCCTGGGAGTCAAGGCAGATGCTGAGCAGTTGACATTCTAAGAGGCTCCTTCCAGTAGATCGGTGGATAAACTCAGGTTCTTTTCACAAATGTGTCTGTGTTTCTCCAGTGGAAAAAAAAAATGACCCTGTAGCTAAAATGTAGACTTCATAGTGCAAGAAAAACAACATGTGGAGCCTTAGCCAGAAACAACACAGACCCAGGCAGCCTGGTGGTGTCCGGCGGGGACAGCCCACGAGATCCATCAGCACGTGGCCCTGCTAGCCACCACCAGCAACATATGTTTACATGCTAATGAATGTCAGGCTCATTTAGAACAAATTTGCATCCACCAAAGTCAAACAGTGAGCAGAGCAGCACATTTTCCTGTGTGTCAGTGGCCCCTGAGATACCGGGGAGGACTTGAATTGCCTGACCCCTTCAACTTCCAAGCATCCCAGAGGGAAAAGGCAGACCCCAGGAAAGGACTGTGCTGGAAACCATTTGTTCTTAATGGATGTCTGGAGTAGTCTTGCGATTGAACCAAATACTCCCCTCTGAGGGTGGGGGAGACCTAGGGTAGGTGAAGGTGAACAATGCTGCCTTCTAAGACCTTCCTTCTAAGGGAGGGTGGGGGAGACCTAGGGTAGGTGGAGGTGAGCCATGCCAGCAGGATCTTCCTTCTAAGAGAAGATGAAGTGTGCTTTGCTAGACTCTGCGCTTGAGTTTCAGCTTGGTCAACCCAGATGGGAGCGAGTCACTTCTATCCTATGATTCTGGGTGTCCTCATCTGTCACGGAAGGTTTGGTTAGATGAGCTTAAAGTCACTCCAGTTGCAAAGCTGTGTGACTTGTAGATACATGCCAGTGTGAATGATTCACTTCACTTTAACAAGTTATACAGAAAGCCAGGCTTCTCCTTATATCAGCCAGAGGGCCCCAGAAGACATTGTCACAGACAAAGAGGTGATTAAAAGGAGTCACTGACGGGATTCTTTGGAGGTGGGTGGGCAGGGCCCAAGGGAAGTGAGAATAGCACTGCCCACACCATGGGCGAGGGATGCCTAGGGAGGGGCTGCTGACATGGACAGGCATGAGTAGGAGAGGAGTGAGGACAGCTCCTCTCCCTCCTTCACATTCTACCTGCTGCCAGCAATGGACCCAACCAGCAGCCCTAGGCCAGGGACCAGGCCAGGGTCCCAGAGTCAGAGCCAGGGAGAAGCCAGAAATAAGGAGAAGCCACTCGTCTCCATCAACACTGAGGCTGCAGTAAGAATTTTGACGGAAATATTTAAAAACTCATTCAACAACTTCCTACCTCCCCAGCCAGCCTCTGCATGTGATTCCACCTTTTCCAACTCCTGAGCTGTGATCAGGGGTGTCACAGGGGTGGGGCTACCTGCTCTGCCCAGGGCCTGGGACCCTCCAACCTTCAGAGGTCTGGGGTCCCCTCACCCCTCTCTGGCAGCAATTGTCTTCTCTGCTGTCAAATTATTATCACTTCCATCCTTCCACAACACATGGGAATTTAAGGTGGGATTTGGGTGGGGACACAACCAAACCATATCAAAGGGGGGGCCCGGGGCTCCCTCACGGGGCTCTGGCATGAGCTTGGGTGACACAGGCTATGAGACCCCCATCTGCTTCAGGTTGAATTGCATCCCCCAAGATTCCCAGATTGTAGTCCTAACCCAGGACCTCAGAATGTGTCAGTATGTGGAAATAGGGCTTTTAAAGAAATGATTAAGGTAACATGAAGTCATTAGGACTGATGTCCTTGTAAAAAGAAATCAGGACACAGACACCCATAGAGGGACAACCCTGTGAGGACACAAGAGAAGAAGCCATCTGAAAGCCAAGGAGAGAGGCCTTAGGAGGAGTCAGCCCTGAATACACCTTGGCCTTGGACCTCCAGACCCCAGGACTATGAGAAATACATCTGTTTTTTCACAAAACTGCCTGTGGCAGCCCAAGCACAGCCATGCGCCATCTTTGGTTCTCAGAAATTCCACTTGTTTTTATGCTCCTGGATTTTAGGAGGCCCCTGGATGACCAGTATGTGGCCAAAGTTAGAGGAGTCGCTGCTGGTGAAGAGAGCCCCACACATCTCTGAGCAGACACTGAGGGGGCACGAGAGGAAGGACTGTGAAGCCCCGAGGGACCCACCACTGTATTTTCATCTCACGAACAGTAGTTAGTTCGCTTTCAGCCTGTCCTCCATGTTATTGTGTGGCATTTCATCAGGGGGATTATATACCTAGGCATTGGTTATATTCTGTTTCCAAGTACAGGATGTGACTTCCAAAACAGGCCAGCCACCCCCCAGTCCCATTCCAACAGCAAACCTTTCCTTTCCTTCCAGTTGAGGTGCCTTCTTCTCTGCTTTTAAAATTTTTCTATTGAGCTGGGTGCAGTGGTTCATGCCTGTAATCCCAGCATTTTGGGAGGACGAGGCAGGAGGATCACCTGAGGCCAAGGGTTCAAGACCCAGCCTAGCCAATATGGTGAAACCCCCCTCTACAAAAAATACAAAAATTAGCTGTGTGTCGTGGCACGCACCTGTAATCTCAGCTACTAGGGAGGCTGAGGCACCAGAATCAGTTGAACCCAGGACGCAGAGGTTGCAGTGAGCAGAAATTGTACCACTGCACTCCAGCCTGGGCGACAGAACAAGACACCATCTCAAAAAAAATTATATTGATACATAATAATTGTACATGTTTACGGGGTACATGTCATATTTTGATACACGCCTACAATGCATAATAATCAAAAAGGGTAATCAGAATATCCATCATCTTAAATATTTATCATTTCTTTGTGTTGGGAACATTTTAAATCTTTTCTTCTATCTATCTTGAAACATACAATAAATTATTTTTAACTATCATCACCCTACTGTGCTTTCAAACACTGGAAATTATTCCTTCTATCTAACTGTATTTTCATACCAATTATATTCGGCCTGTTGTTGTGTTGCTATAAAGAAATACCTGAGACTGAGTAATTTATAAAGAAAAGAGGTTTAATGGGCTCATGGTTCTGCAGGTTTTCCAGAAAGCACAATGCTGGCATCTGCTCAGCTTCTGGGGAGACGTCAGGAAACTTACAATCATGGTGGAAGGTGAAGGGGGCGCAGGCCCATCACATGGCAAAAACAGGAGAAAGAGAGAGAGAGAAGGTGCTACCCACTTCTAAATGACCAGATCTCAAAAGAACTCACTATTGCGAGAACAGCTCCAAGGGGAGTGTGCCAAAGCATTCACGAGAATCCGCCCCAATGATCCCATCACCTCTCACCAGGCCCCACCTTCAACACTGGTGATTACAATTCACCATGAGATTTGGGCAGGAACACACATCCAAATATATTGCCAGTAAACCAAGCTGTCTTTATCCCCTCTGATAACCATCATTCTACTCTCTACCTCCATGTGATCAACTCCTATCTCTTCAACACATCAGTGTGAAGAAGCCAAATTTGTCTTTCTGTTCCTGGCTTATCTTACCGAACATAATTCCCTCCAGTTCCATCCATGTCACTGCAAATGGCAGGATTTCATTCTTTTTATGGCTGCATAATATTTTACTGGGTTTATATACCACACTTTTATCTATTTTTTTTTATCTAAGTGCTCATTGATGGACACTTGGGTTGATTCCGTAACTTTACTGTTCTGAACAATGCCGCACCCCATGTTTATTGGGTTGGTTTATTTAGTACACATCTTTCCCACTAGAATCCAAGCCCCATAAAAGCAGTGGCCATGTCTAAAGGTTCACCAATATGCACAGGCCTCTAATTCAGTGCCTACCACATGGTAGATGTAATAATTATCTGTCAATCTTTTTATTGAATAAAATAAAGCTTTTTTTTAAGTGACTGGTTTCATATTCTGAATATCTAAGTTAAGCCTATTGACTTGTTAATGCTTCACCTAAATAAAGAGAGAAAACACTTAGTGGGCAGCAGACTTCCTAAGATATCCTTTGATTTCGCTACACACATTAGCACTTACCAGACACTCTTCAAATTCCCTGAAGATGAGCCCAGGTTTGGGCTTCTGTCTCAATTGCTGAAAATGTCTGCCTCCTCCTTCCTTCACTGAATGGTTCAGAGCTCAGACTTCATTTTCATACCCACAATTAGTAAGATTCATATTCTAGAAGAAAGCTAAATTGTTCATTTGTGTTAACTCAGCACTTGGGACCGAAAACCTCACTGACAGAAAGTAAAGCTACATTTTGTCTTTTCAAAATGAGCCCACAGCTGCTGCCTATAGAATTATCTTGAACCTTTGGGACCCAAGCCTCAGCATCTTATTTAAAAACACAGAACTTTGAGAAAAGTCATCTTTCCCAACCAGACATATAAAAATGTGGTGGCATTTTAAAATTGAAATCTTGGTGAAAAAAATAGAGAAAAACTATGTATATATTTGAGTTTTCATTTAGTTCTAGAACTCAGGTCTATTTTCATGAAATACAGTATAGCTCACTGAGTCAAACTGAAACACATACAGGACAGGGGCTTTCTGTTTCCACCCACAATTGCTTCCATGATCTGATGATTTGGTTACTCATGAACTTCATGAACTGTTTGCTTTTGCTAATATCCATTTTGAAGCCTTTGAAGGGCTACCAATGCCAAAGTTCAATAAAGTAAAAATTCACAACATTATTTGTATTTTCTTTCCAAATTATACAATTCCAAAGCAAATTTTACTAAAAACCTCTAATATTCACCCATATTGGATTCTTTGAAGGTGGATTTTCCACCTTTAATTCTCCTTTCAAGCTGTGAAACTCAACACGGCCTCGCCTAGGATTCCTAACTTGTCTAGCCAGTAGGCAGAGAGCTTTTCTCTGATGAAAATAAATTCCTTTTTCATGCTAGTAAGCAACTGAGTTTGCTGCTTTCTCTGAAGTAACAAGAATAGAACTCCAGTCTCTAAAATTAAGAATTTGGGGCTGTATTGAAAAAAAAAAAGAAAGAAGGAAAGAAAGAAAGCAAGAAAGAAAGAAAGAAAGAAAGAAAGAAAGAAAGAAAGAAAGAAAGAAAGAGAAGAAAGAAAGAAAGAAAGAAAGAAAAGAAAGAAAGAAAGAAAGGAAGGAAGGAAGGAAGGAAGGAAGGAAAGGAAAGAAAGGAAGAAAGAAAAAGAAAGAAAGAAAGAAATTAAAGAAAGAAAGGAAGGAAGGAAGGAAGGAAGGAAGGAAGGAAGGAAGGAAGGAAGGAAAGAAAGAAAGAAAGGAAAGAAAGGAAGAAAGAAAAGGAAAGAGAAAGAAAAGAAAGAAAGGAAGGAAGGAAGAAGCAAGAAAGCAAGGAGGAAGGAGGGAGGGAGGGAGAGAGGGAGGGAAACAAAGAAAGAAAACTCTCAAAAGTCCTGAAGCACAGCTGCTGAGTTTATAGCAAACGCAGTTGCACATGCTCAATCTCTGCAATGAGAATGTCGCTCTCCTGCTGGAATCTATAAATGATTGTTTGTCCTGTATATTTTTAATAGCAAGTTATAAAGCTATTTGTGCAGCACCAGGGCCAGAACTTTCTCCTCTGAGGCAGGCACAGCTCATCAACCTGGGACTCGGCCCCACGGGGAGCGATGCCAGGCGGTCCTGTCTAATGGGGTAGGGAGGACAGAGGCAAAAGCAGGTCCGAGCTGGCAGCCCGTCTGGGAATGAGTTGACTGTTACGGCCAGGTGCGCATCCAGATGTATCCCATAGGCATGGGTTAAAATGGGCTGGGACTCTCAAATCAAATCAAGGAAGGAGGCAGACGGGCAATTTCCCACTGATACCAGGACACGGAGGAATTGGAATTCCATCACAACACACGCGTGCGCTCACACACACCTTGTGAGATTGCCCATAACGACGCCCTGGAAGGGCATTGCCTGACCGTGACTGCAGCCCAGCCAGTGAGGCTGACATGTGCAGCAATCACTGCCAGGCAGCCGGTGAGTCATTTTGCATCCACTGGCGTGATGAATCTTTTACATAATGTGAATCACTGTCTAATTGTGACTCTGATTGCACCTACTGCCGTCAGCACGCTCAAAGCTCCCCGAGTCGCTCGAGAAGCAAAAGAGTGAGAAGAAAATGACACATAAACAAGCTTTTGTTCATCATGAGAGTAAAAGAAAATTGCCCCACGTGCGATCAAAGTGGCCACGTAGACAAAGGAGGAGAAAGCCCCGGTGGCTCGGCACGTGTGGATGCCCAGACGGGGGCAAAGCCACCCGGAAGCCACCTCATCCATCCGTGCACCTGGAGCCTTTCCAGGCACTCCCACCTGCTACAGGATGCAGTGTCAGGAGAAGACCCAGCGACCAGCACTCGGCAGAGCGAGGGTTCAAGCCACGGCCCTGTCACTTCCTGTCCTTGCAGACCTGAGCAGATTCCCTCATTTCACTTTTTGTCAAGATCCAATGAGACTGTGTAAGGTGTCGAGAAAGAAACACAAGTGGAGATGCTCAGCAAACATATGATCCTTTTTCTCTAAAAATTAGACACAAATACGCCAGCAGGAAGACCAAGTGGCTCCTCATTTCACCTTTCCATTGATGGAACCCCCATATGCTTGGCCCTCCTCCTCCCCGGCTTCCTGTATGATTTACTCATCACTTCAGCATTTTCACCTCCACCAAGGTCAGCCATGCCAGGGGCAGGGGACGTGGTGCCTCTGGGCTCTGATCTGAGGCAGGACAGGGTTGTGAGCCACAGAACCTCACCCTGACGTGGGTCCATGGCAGCAGCAGCAGCTCTGGGACTGTAGCATTTCTCCAGCTCCCTCATTACCTTCAGGAGACCCCTAAAAGGACAGCAGGCATCCTGAGAGGAGAATCGATTCAGCTGATTACCTGCCTGTCCCTCTTATCGCCTGGGCTGTCTGGCCGGAGGCTGAGTCCTGGGCTAGGAGGAAGGTTAGCAGTCCCCACAGTGGTTCAGTTGGTGTCCTGCTCTTCAGGCAGGCTCTGTCGTGAGTGATGGGAACCACTGTCTGGCTGGACAGGGGCGCCATGTTTGCCCGTGTGATTGACGTGGAGATGTGCCTCCCATGCGCCCTTCAGAAAGGACTGTGCCCAGCTGCAGAGTGAGGTTGGCGGGAGCCTCCAGCGATGAGCTCCCACAGGATGGGGGTGTCTGGGGAGCCCACACAAGGTTATGAACATCCCAGTCACACGGAGGAAGCTCTGGCGCACAGCATCCCCCAAGCCTCCCCAGGGATGAGCTAAGCCTTGGTGAGGCCTCGTCACCCTTCCTCTCTGCCCTCCTCTTCCCACCGGCCTCCCATGGGTGTTGGTCCCAAACTCAGCATCTGCTTCAGAAGAACCCCACCTGCGACAGCCAGTCACCAATGTGACTTTGCAGTTCTGACTCCTTCCACATAGAAGGCTGCTGGGGACGTAGATCAATTAGACTGTCTGCCTAATAATCACGAGCCAAAAGCAGGCTGATGAAAATGTGACTCTAAGTTTGCCTCTAATAGAGAAAATGTGCCACTATCCTGACAGCTGATATTATACTTGACACGACTCAAGGTCTGCGGTCTGTCAGAAAGAGCAGCAGAGGCTGGAAAATACAGAAGCTTTCATTATGACTGAGCCACTGCTGGGTTTGGAGGAAGCATTTAGAACCATCCTCTGATCATGGATATAGACAGAGTCTAATAATCCAAGCTTAAAAAGAAAACAAGATGTGAACATAATACCTGAAATTTTCTAGTAAAGGAGTCGGTCTCATCTGCAGGTCACGCGTGTGCGCAGGTGTGAACCCTCACTGGAAACCCACACTGGGCTCGCCAAGAGCTTCAGAAGGGGACACCACACGTGTGGACAGCTTCCCCTGCTCCTGCCCACACTGGGGTAACTTGGAACCGATATTTAACCCTAACCCTAACCCTGATTTAAACAGCAAGGATGCCTTGCTGTTAGAATTTTTTATTAGTAATATTTACAACATTGATATATTTATCTTTACTGAGACATGCATTTTTCCATACATTGTAAGTACTTTGAAAAAGATTCTTTTAAAAATTTACTCTAGCTATAAACATATGTGTGCATGTCTCTTTATAGCAGCATGATTTATAATCCTTTGGGTATATACCCAGTAATGGGATGGCTGGATCAAATGGTATTTCTAGTTCTAGATCCTTGAGGAATCGCCACAAAAGTATAATAAAAATAAAGAAATAAATAAATAGCAATTTAGTCTAGCTATGTCTTTAGGCTTAATTATTAGGGAAACAGAGCTGAAATATGATGACTTACTCTCACCTAAATGAAACTAGCCAAGTTCTTTCTCTTTCTTATCTCTAGCTAAGAAGCATTTGAGAACTCTGTTGGGTTTAATTCCTTAATACTAGAGAATGGAGTCAGTAGAAGATTTACATTTTTAAGTCGGCCAGCATGCAGAGAGATTTTTTAAAATCTAAAATCCTCAGTGAAAAGAGCTATCTTCATCCTGTCCCAGAAAGAAGATTTTTGGATTTTGCTGTTTCCCCTTTCAGGTTCTCATGAGCGTTGTATTTTGCACAGAAAGTAAGAGAAAGGTGGGAGGATACAGCAGCCTGAGCCAGTCTTCAAGGCATCCTGGCAGAGAGAGGGGGTCCTCAACACATCCCCACAGGGAGGGGGGGTCCTCGATGCATCCCACAGGGAAGGGGGTCCTTGACACATCCCCATAGGGAGAGGGGCTCCTTGACGCATCCCAGCAGGAAGAGGGGGTTTTCGATTCATCCTGGCAGGGAGAGGGGGTACTCGACGCATCCCGGAAGGGAGAGGGGGTCTTCAATGCACCCCGGCAGGGAGAGGGGGTCCTTGAGGCATCCCCACAAGAAGAGGGGGTCTTTGACACATCCCAGCAGGGAAAGCCAGGTGATGGCCCTCAGTCCTCATCAGCACCCATCCCCGCCTCTTCGCCTGGTCACAGGCTGCTGTGCTTAATTTCCATGCTCTCCCCAGTCTTTCTCTACAAGCAGAACAAAACCAGATACAAATTAATAACTCACAGCCAAAGATGTATTCAAGCCACTTCACATTTCCCTTTTCTGTCATTGCCATGGCCAACTATGGCAGGTACGCTGCGGTGTTGTTGGTGGCAATTCATAGTTGTGATGGAATTCCTCCCAGTAACTAATGTTTTCTATGTGCTCACCATGCAGCTGTCCCCATGCAAGCTGTAAATACTCAGTGTCCTTCTGCCTTATCTGTTATTTTGATTAGCAATGGAATAGGTGAGGTGTGAAGAAGGTAAGCAGCTTCACCAAGGCCATGCCTCTAGCAAGTAGTAAAATCATCACTCAAACTCAAGCCTGGCTTGAGTCAAGACTCAGTAGTGATGCCTCAGCTCCTCTTAGGATCACTGATGTCGATGCTAGGTCCTGGTATAAATATCTACTTAACTCTCTCGGAGTGAATCTGGTAGAGGTTTATAGATCTTGAGATCAAGAATACATCATCTGTTTATATTTTCATAGAAACACACTAAAAGTGGACTTGTGTACTGGAATCTGTATCCTATTAGGAGGCCACATATCAACTACATTACCATGTGTATGAGTCAGCTCAGGCTGCTATGACAAAATACCATGAACTGGGTAGTTTCAACAGCAGACATTTATTTGTCATCATTCCAGATACTAGAAGTTCAAGATCAAGGTGCCAGCAGTTGTCCTGACTTGCAAACAACCCCTTCTCCCTGTGTCCTCACATGGCAGAGAGAAAGGAGCTAGAGCTTAGGCCTCCCATGTCTCTTGCAATAAGGACACCAGCTCTATCTGATTAGGGTCCCATCCTCATGACCACATATAACCTAAATTACTTCTAAAAAGACCCCATCTCCAAATACAGCCATATTGGATGTTAAGACCTTGACATGTAAATGTTGGGGTGACACAAACATTCAGTTGATAAAATTCCACCTAAAAATTTACGACCTCCAAAAACTCTTGACCCCCTAGCATGCAAACTACGTTCATTCCAGCCCAACATCCCCAAACATCTTCACTCATTCCAGCATCAGTGCTGAAGCTTAAAGTCTAGAGTCTCATCTCAATGTCATCTGAATCTGACACAGGTGAGGTTCAAGTCACAATTCATCCTGAGCTACACTTCTTCTACAGCTGTGAACCATTAAAACTGGACAAATATGCCCTTCCAAAGTACAATAGTAGGGATACACATTCTCATTCCAAAACAATAGTAGGGATACACATTCTCATTCTGAAAGAGAGAAACAGGAAAGAAGAAAGGGGCAGCTGGTTCCAGGCAAGCCCAAAATCTAGTAAGGCAAATTTTATTCAAGCTTAAGGCTTGAGAAACACTTTGTTTGGCTAATGTTCCTCCTTCCAGCCCAAGGGGGTGGCAGCTTCACCCCAGGGCTCTACTGGGTGGCCCCACTCCCCACTTTCTGACCCGTGGAGTTCTGGCCCATTAAAACAGAAACCAAGGAGGCAGACCTGATTATCTCTGAATCACCATCAGGGTGATGCTTCCATTTTTCTGAAAGATAAAACACACATGCAGCAGAATAGCTCTGTGGTCACATCCTGTGGAATCTCAGCAGTCTGATTCCTTCCTTTATTTTGTCCCCACTGTGTCCCCTCTGGTTCAAGCTGACAGGGTCTCTGGAAGTAATCCAGTCTCTATTCCTGGATCCTTCTGAGGTGGGTGATTACAGCCATGGTTCCCACCCACACTCATCTCCTTATCAAGTGGATATTCAGGCAAACCCTGTGTGTTCTTTTCAAAACCAGCTTCTCCATAACATTCTATGATACCTGCATGCTCTAAGATACTAGAAGCTTTCTCTCCAGCTCTCCCCTTTCCTCTCTGAGCCTTCCCCAGAGTCACCTTGAACAACCATATTTCTACCAACAAGCACTTCACAGCCATCTAGCCTTTTTACCTATTACCCAGGTTCAAGGCCACTTCCACATTTTTAGGTATTTGTTACAGCAGCACCCCTGCCCCTCAGCACCAAAATCTCTTAGCCTGCTCAAGCTTCCATAGGAAATACCACAAAGAAGGTGTTTTATTAATAAAACAAACATTGATTTTTCAGTCCTGGGGGCTGGAATTTCAAGGTCAGGTGGTGGCACAGTCAGTGTTCGGTGAGGACTCTCTTCTTGGTTTGCAGGTGGCTGTCTTCTCACTGTATCCTTACATGGGGCAGAGAGAGCCAGAGAACTCTCTTTGATGTGTTCTTATAAGGGCATGAATGCCATTAGATTAGGATCCCAATCTATGACCTTATTAACCTTAATTACCCTTCTACTCCAAATACAGCCACATGGTGAGGGGAGGGGAGGGTTTCAATGTATGACTTGGGGGTGATATATACATTCAGTCATAACCACATATTAGCTGTGTGATCTCAGGCACATTATTTAATACCTCTGAGGATTGGTCAAAAGTGCCACTACATCCTTTGTCTGCCCCATAGGCTTCCTGTGAGGATCAATCAAATGGAATATATATGAAGATGCTTTGCAAACTATTAGACACCATACCAACATCAGCTAAATGAGAAAAGAAGAAAAAAGTCACATAGCTCTACAGTGTAAAAAACACTCTGGACCAGAATCATTTATTAGTTGTGATTTTTCTGCACTTCTCCTTTAGGAGAAAAAAGCAAATGGCTATAAAAAAGGAATCATATTTTTAAACATCTAGACTAACAGCATGAATCCTTCTTGGTCAATCTCCTACATTTCTACCAGACAATGAGAAATGAGGTCAGACTTTCATTAAAATTATAACAATAACAACAAAGTTCAGCAGGTTCACAGTGAACTGAATCATTTTTAGAAACTTTCACAACTTAAGTAGAAATAAAAAGGAGCTTCTGTCTAATGAGGAAATACAGCTTATCCCTAAACCTCATGCCTTAAACGTTAATGAGATGTGGTTATAACTAGCATATTTGTGCTGCTGTGTTAGGCAGATTTGCTGCTAAAGGAAAACAATCACCAGAAAGCACTATTTAAGACAGTCTGTATTCATGTGTTCTCATGCTACTAATAAAGACATACCCAAGACTGGGTAATTTATTTTAAAAAGAGGTTTGATTGACTCACAATTCTGCAAGGCTGGAGAGACCTCAGGAAACTTACAATCATGGCAGAAGGAGAAGCAAGCACTTCCTTCTTCACATGGCATCAGGAAAGAAAAGAATGAGTGCCCAGCAAAGGGGGAAGCCCCTTATAAAACCATCAGATCTCATGAGAACTAATTCACATCATGAGAACAGGATGGGGGAAACCACCCTCATGATTCAATTATCTCCACCTGGTCCCTCCCACGACACATAGGGATTATGAGAACTATAATTCAAGATGAGATTTGCGTGGGGACACAACAAAACCATATCACAGTCTATGTGAATAAACAAGGCCTCTCATTTTTTGACAGTGACTGTTTTGCAGACTTTTCCCTATTCCTCTAAAGATTCTTTCCATCATCACCTTTATTTGTGCATTTAAAATCTATCAGGCAGTTGGGCATGGTGGCTCACACCTTGTAATCCCAGCACTTTGAGAGACCAAGGCGGGGCGGATTTCTTGAGCTCAGGAGTTGAAGACCAGCCTGGGCAACATGGCACATTGATATAGTTTGGCTCTGTGTCTCCACCCAAATCTCACCTTGAATTGTAATAATCCCTACATGTCAAGGTCAGTCTAGGTGGAGGTAATTTAATCATAAGGGTAATTTCCCCTATGCTGTTCTCATAATGAGTGAGTCTCATGAGATCTGATGGTTCTATAAGCATCTGGCATTTCCCCTGCTTGCACTCATTCTCTCTCCTGCTGCCTTGTGAAGAGTTGCCTTCCACCATGATTGTAAGTTCCCTGAGGCCTGCCCAGCCATACAGAACTTTGAGTCAATTAAATCTTTTCTTTAAAAATTACCCAGTGTCAGGTATTTTCTTCATAGCAGTGTGAGAACAGATTTATACACCCATTTTTACAAAAAATACAAAAATTAGTTGGGCATGGTGGCACGCACCTGCAGTCTCAGCTACTCAGGAGAATGAGGTGGGAAGACCCCTTGAGTCCAGGAGGTTGATGCTGCGGTAAGCCATGATGGCGCCACTGCACTCCAGCCTAGGTGAGTGAGTGAGACCCTGACTCTAAATAAATAAATATTTTTTAAAATAAAATAAAATCTATCTGGCCTGTCTTCTTACACATGGGAGTCCAGGTTTTTCTCTACAGAAAATGGTTGGCAGATTATAGGTGAGAAAGAAAATAATTATCCTAAACTAGATTCCAGAAACTTGGAATAAGAGCATCTTTCAATAAACACAATAAAGAAGAGAAAATGGCATAAAGTTATGCCGAAATCTCATACTGTGTGTTCTGTGTGTCTTCTTAATTTGGGGTAAATTGCCTATGCAATATCTGTGCCTTTCCAGACAAACTTAGAGAAGCTGTATCTTTCTTGTTGTTATTTGTTTTTACTAGCAACAGAACATTGGTTTTCTTAAGAGAATGTTACTGAACTAAGATCCTGAAAACAGTTGTGGTTGTTGCTCATCTTCATATTTTTCTAATTTTACGCTATTCACAGGCTGGGCAGGGTGGCTCATGCCTGTAATCTCAGCACTTTGGGAGGCCAAGATAGAAGAATCACTTGAGCTCAGCAGTTTGAGACCAGTCTGGGCAACAAAGTGAGACCTCATCTCTACAAAAAATGAAAAGGTTAGCTTGGTGTAGTGGCACATATCTGTGGTCCCAGCTATTTGGGAGGCTGAGATAGGAGGATCACTTGAGCCCAAGAGGTCAAGGCTGCAGTGAGCCATGATTGCATCCCTGCACTCCAACCTGGGTGACAGAGCAAGACCCTGTTAATATTTAACATTATCTACCAGAAAGCTAAAGAACACAAGGCTCTCAGCTCAAGGTAAATGAGGGACAACTTCACAAAGAGAAATAGGAAAGGCAGCCCCCCAGAGGCAAGTGCGTCTTCCACGGGGCAAAGGCCAAATTATTCCCTAGTGAATCCACAAGCTAGAATGCCTCATGTCAGGTGTGAAGGGTGAAGAAGAAATTCAAGGGATCGTGAAATGTCTTCCATTCTATACTGGGTTTAACAATTTCTATCTTTCAGCCACTAGGCAAACTTCTACCTTGCCTTGTTCAACACAGTTTATAATAAGTCTGTTAGCCTTATAAAACCAAGAAAGGCCCAGGGCAGGTTACTGACACTGACTTGATCTCTTGCATTTGCCCGTCAGGAAGTTTCCATATCCTTGGAAGAAGAGATGAGACCTGCACCCCCTCACCACTGCCTAAGGAGACAGCCTCTTGTGAACGCTGCTTCTAATGCTTTATTTCTGAGCACACAAGCTTCATCTGCTCTTCTAGAAAACGTTGAGACTGAGAAGTGTTTGTAGAAAGAGGTGGACTCCCTGCAATGTGACCAGTGGGGCTTTCGGCCTGTTTTTTAACATCACGAATGCTAAAGAAAAGGAACTATAAAAACGGGGAAGAAAAGGCCAGAACCCATGTGAACCTTATTCCAGCTGGATAATCTCCTAATTCCTCAAATACTCAACATTCCCCAATATTTGAAACATTTCAAAACGGATATCTTAACTGGTCAAGACAAAACTGTTCTTCCCAGAGGTCGGTGTCCATCAGGGGTTTAGGTAGAGACCTTTTGTGACGTCTCACATTGCGATTTCAGAAGCCTCAGCTTCTGGGAAGGAGGAGCTGGGGACACAGTTGGGCCAAAAAATGTGCCCACACAGGGGCGGCCTGGTGACAGACATGCAGAATGGCCCCTACAGGGGTCGAGTTCAGGGTGAAAAAAGTTGTTCTGGGGCCTCAGCCATCAAGAAGAATCCTGTTTCATGCAATATTTTTTAAAAATCAAAATGAGTGCAAAAAATAGTCCACAATAAACAAAATATCAAAATTTGCCATAAAGACTGGATCAGACGGGGTTGTGCTCAGTCAGTTCAGAGCCTGAGGCAGGCGAGATGTGTCCCCCAGCCCCATATGCATGTTTTTATGAATTTCTTTAATAGTTGATTTTTATCCAGGACTAGTTGAAAATATGGAAAACAGGGCCGGGAGCAGTGGCTCACGCCTGTAATCCCAGTACTTTGGGAGGCCGAGGAGAGGGGAACACCTGAGGTCTAGAGTTCAAGACCAGCCTGGCCAACATGGAGAAACCCTGTCTCTACTAAAAATACAAAATTAGCTGGGCATGGTGGCGCATGCCTGCAACCCCAGCTACTCGAGAGGCTGAGGTAGGAGAATCGCTAGAACCTGAGAGGCGGAGGTTGCAGTGAGCCGAGATCACGCCATTACACTCCAGCCTGGGCAACAAGAGCAAAACTCCATCTCAAAAAAAAAAAATATGGAAAATAATTTAAAAGTGGATGTGTTAAAACTCACAGCATTATTTTAAGTATTGTATTTATACCAAGAACAAAATGTATTATAATTTTAGTTTCCCAGCCCCAAAACTCCTTTTACAGGATACTACTGTGACTTATATTGTTAAAAATTCCCAAGACCTCTTCCAAACTGAGATAAAATTTTACTAAGCAAAACTCACAATGACTTTTAGAAGATATCCATAGTGTATATGTACCACATTTTCTTTATCCAGTCTATCATTGATGGGCATTTGGGTTTGTTCCAAGTCTTTGCTATAGTAAATAGTGCTGCAGTAAACACACATGTGCATATGTCTTTATAGTACACCATGGAATACTATGCAGCCATAAAAAAGAATGAATTAATGTCCTTTGCAAAAACATGGATGAGGCTAGAAGCCATCATTCTCAGCAAACTAACACAGGAACAGAAAACCAAATGCCATATGTTCTCACTCATAAGTGGGAATTGAACAATGAGAACACATGGACACAGGGAGGGGAACATCACACACTGGGACCTGTCAGGGGATGGGGGGCAAACGGAGGGAGAGCATTAGGACAAATACGTAATGCATGCGGAGCTTAAAACCTAGATGACAGGTTATAGGTGCAGCAAACCACCATACCACATGTATACCTATGTAACAAACCTGCAAGTTCTGCACACGTATCCCAGAACTTAAAGAAAAATAAATAATAATAATAAAAACATACTCACCACCCCGACACCTAATAGAATTTTAAAAAGATATCAACATGATGCTGATTTTATATTACAAACTCTTGACATAACAGGCTTCTCAAAATCACCTATTTAAGAGGAAATCTGTCCAGAACTTAAATCATCAGAATGTTTTAGGGTTGAGTCAGTGGCTGCTTTTTGAAAATCAAATGTATTCATGCAGAATAACTTTCTTTAGTAAAAATTCAAAATCTGAAGACAGTTTTTTAATTTTGCGTTTCTCCACCTCAAATGTTAAATTAAGGCATCTATAATCTAAATTTCTATTTGATTTCCCTTTTTCCAGAAGAATTGACACTCTTGTGTGGTGATTCATACATTTCTAATTTTTTACCTTTCCTTTTCATTCATTTTCAAATTCAGGAAGAATATTCCTACCTTTTGCTAACATTTTAAATCTATCTCACATACTCTTTCTCTTATTTGATTTCATTTACAACACTCAGTTGAAAATGACGGAAAGATGGAAAGAACTTTTAAAAAGATTACTGATGGCTTTGCATTGTTTAAAGCCAATAGGTAAAATTATAATAAATTCTGATTTAAGTATAGGTAAAATATTTCCATTTAAAGTAAGATTATGAGCTTTAGTACTCCTACTTTTTAATTTTCAACATTTGTTTATCTGCTTGAGCCACAGATAACTGAGAGATGAATGAGCCACAGAAAGCTGAGAGATGAGGCACACAGGGGCACACATTCTCCCTGCTGCTGCCTCAGGTGCAGGACAGCTCTGCACAATACCATCACCGTCCTCGGGGACATGAACGTCCAAGTCCCAGATGACAACTGGACTTTTCAGTGCACAAACCAATGCCCCTGTTCTCTCTGAAGCCCCCACCAAGGAGCTGAGCTGTCAGGATCTGCTCCTGCTGTTCACGCCTCTCTTCTCTCTCCCTCTCTCCCTCTCTCTCTGAGCCTCTCTTTTACCCCATCATCCTTCAAATCTCAAAGCAGTAATAGGAAATAAGTGAGGAGGAAGTGGAGGCAGAAACCACCTCATTTCCTCTGAGTTCCATCTTAGACTCTTAGAAGAGCAGAGATTGGAGGGCCAGCCTCTCGACCTCATGTCTCATGAGCCACTTCCTGCTCTGTGGACCTGGTGAGTGGCTTAGCCTGTATTCCCGGGTTCCCACATCAATCCCTGCCTCCCAGGGTCACTAGAGAGGTTTAGTAAACACAGATGCATGCACACTTAAAACAGTCTTCAATCTCATCCAGGTAGCTGCAAATGCCATTAATTCATTCATTTGTATGGCTATATAGTGTTCCATCATGTAAATATACCAGTTTCTTAATCCACTGGTTGATTGGTGGGCACTTGGGTTGATTTGACATTTTTGCAGTTGTGAATTGTGCTGCTAAAAGCACGCATGTGCAGGTAAACTTTTTGTATAATGACTTCTTTTCCTCTGGGTAGATACCCAGTAGTGGGATTACTGGATCAAATTGTCATTCTGCTTTTAGTTCTTTAAGGAATCTCCACACTGTCTTCCATAGTGGTTGTACTAGTTTACATTCCCACCAGCAGTGTAGAAGTGGGAACCCACTGTTTTTGTAGCAAGCAGTAAGCAAGCCTGCTGCCGTCGTGGGGAGGCAAGAGTGATGACCTCACCCGTCAAGATGACAAGCTGCATAAACGGTGCTGAGAAATGGGCTGGATAGCAGAGAGCTTGGGGCCTCAGTGTCTTGGCACAGACAGCAAGACATGTGGGAGTTCTGGAGGCCTGCAGAGGATGGCCTCCTGCAAGGGTCACTACCTACCATGTCCTACCCTCTGGTTCTAATGTCCCTGTGCACCACAAGTTCCCACATAACACAAGACCCTCTTACCAGTGACTAAAGCTTAACCTAATTCTCCCTACAGTGTTGGAAACTTGGTGCGCTATCCCTCCCAGACAGAATTAAAGGCTTTCAAACCTAAGGAATGAATCTCTAATGGTGTAATTTTACACTCTATGACCCATGAGTAAAAGAGAGTGTTTTCTGGAATATTTCTTGAGTCTAATGCTTTATAAATTAATGAAGGAAAAAGATGCTGACTAATCTGGGACACGTTAGCTAAGGGCTAGGAAGGGCATTAGTTCAAGCTGCTGTGTTTATCTCCATAGGGCTGGTGTAATGAACTGAGGGGCTTAAAATAACAGCAATTTATACTCCACAGTCCTAGAGGCCAGAGTCTGAGGTCAAGGCATCCTCAGGGTCAGTTCCTTCTGGAAGCTCTGGGGAGAATCCTGGCCTTGGCTTGCATACCCATCACCCCAAACTCTGTCTCTATCCCAATGTGGCCTTCTCCCCTCTGTTTCTCTCTGTCTTCTCCTTTTCTGTCTCTTTTAAGGAAGCCTAACATTAGATTTAGGGCCCACCCTAATCCAGGATGATCTCGTCTTGAGATCCTTATGCCTTAGTTGCATCTGCACAGGCCCTTCTCCCAAATGAGGGCACCTTCTGAGTTTCCAGATAGACATATCTTTTGGGGACAGAGTTCCTCCCACATGTCTGGCAGCCTGAGTGATGCACATCCATCCTTGATGGAACCCAATGGAAGCAGCCTCGATCTTCCATCTCCACCAGTGAACCAAGAAGTCTTCCATGTCCACCACCCCTCACCAGAGGGAGGCAGGGCCTCAGCCGTGGGCAGGGCTCCCCTGATGGCTGGGGTTAGGATGAGAATCCAGCATGGGGAAGACCCTCTGATTCCAAATCAACAGTCCAGGGACCATCCCGGTTCCCTCCGTCCACTTTCTCATGGGAAAGGCGGTTGTCCTCAGGCCTCTGGATGGGCAGGCTCCTCACTCCTGAGACACAATGTAGTGTATGAAGTGAGCAAATGCCCACTTTTAGGCATTACTATAGGGTCACTATGTGAAAATTTTGTAAGGTGATTACCTGAGCAGGCATTCAGTTCTTTTCAGGGCATAAAGTTATCTCTTTGTGTCCATGGCTTACAGACAGGCACGAGTAGTAGTTCTCTCAAAACTTTTGCAAGGTAACTGCCCACCCTCCATCTCCTGGGCCTGCTGCTGAGAGCACACATCACCACACACCTGGCCACACACCTGGCCGCACACCTGGCCACACACCTGGTGGGGTGGGGACAGGACAGCAGCCACAGCTGCTGTCATCACTTAGTGGGTTTGGGGCTTCTTCCTCCTAGGCTCTGATTCTTGACCATGACTTACAGCAAGTCAAATGTTCACACACGTCACAAGATACTATGCCTTTCTCATCCAAAATTAGACAGCAGTGAGGCCACCGCTGAGAGATTAAGGGCTTCCGTCAGCAGCCAGCAAAGGCCTGGATGCATGCAGCCCTCCCATGTCCCCACCTCAGAGGCTGAGTGACCCCTCTCAGTTCCTTTGCAGCAGCATAGCTTTGTCAACTCCAATTCTCTCTCTGGATAATAATGGCCTGGTTCTAAATCTCAGGCCTCCACTGCGGAAGGGCATATTCCACTTAGTCAGTGGTTATGCCCGTGGTGACATTGGCATAGGGTGATAAGCATAGGCAAAGGAGAGATGGTGGCCTTGCACGAGAGAATAGCTAAGCAGCAAGCCACAGAGCAGGAAAGTGAGGCATGGGAGGCGTTGGGAACACCTGTGTTGGAACCAGTTTTCAGTTAGAGACAAAATCCTGAATACAGAGTGTTAACATGAACAGCCTCCTGCCCAAGTGGGAAGTGTAGACCAAAATTAAAATTCTAAGCCTCCCAACTGACTGAATGAACTCCCATCTCAGGGACTCCAAAGTAAACCTGAAAAACTCATTCAGGCCCTGATGGGAAGAGGCAGTGGGACAGGCCTTGTTATACCTCTTCCTTTTGGAGTTCAGGTACAATGAACAGTACTGACATTAACATAGAGATCCTAAGACTGACAGAACAGACTCTTTATAGCAATAAGATACCAACATGACAGGTAGCCAGCCCTGAAGAAATAAAAGTATTTTATCCTAAAATATAGTTATTTGACATATTTTGAAATGACCCTACAAGGTCATCTCTTGTGGAGGAAATTTACATCCTGCAGAGAACCCCCTTCCCTTTCCAGGTATTTTCCTGATCCAAAAGAGGTTAACCAAGAATCTGGTGCCTTTTAAGTTCTGATGAGAGATATTCAAATCTATTGTCTCTGAAGCCTGCTACCTGGAGTCTTCATCTGCATGACAAGAACCTTGGCTCCCACACCTCTCTTCTTACCTTAACTCAAGCTGCCTTCAACTCTTAAGGCAGAGCTTAACACTTTCAACCAACTGCCAATCAGGAAATCAGAATCCACCTATGACCAGGAAGCCCCCTCCTGCTTCAAGACGTCCTGCCTTTCAGGGGCCGAATCAACGTGTACCTTCTATGTATTGATGTATGCCTTTGCCTGTAACTTCCTTCTCCCAAAAATGTATAATCTGTAACCCAACCACCTTGGACACATGTTCTCAGGACCTCCCGAGGCTGTGTAACTGGCCATGGTCCTGAAACTTGCCAAAATAAATCTCTAAATTGATTGAGATCTGTCTCAGATACTTTTTGGTTTATAGAAGTAAACAGAAATGTTCACTCTGGGCAAAATCAGTATGCTACCTTAAAAGGTGGCATTGCTTCCATCTGGGAATTTAGCACAATGCATGTGTAATTAAAGATAATCCACCAAGTGTAGAATTTAAACTGGTTCAACAACTCCACAAATTCTTAAGGACAAATTGCCTGGGAAGTGGCTGAGATGTGATTCCATCTTGATGTCCAAATGCAGTCTGCACTTGGTTTGATCCATCCTGGTAAAAGAAAAACTTCAGCCAAATTAAATTTAAAGGAGTTTAATTGAGCAATGAACAATTCATGAATCGGGCAGCCCCCAGAATCACAGCAGGTTCAGAGAGACTCCTGGGATGCCTCATGGTCGTAACAAATTTGTAGACAAAAAAGGTAAAGTGACGTACAGGAATCGGCAGTGAGGTACAGAACAGCTGAATTTTGGTTACAGGTTGGTGCTTGCCTTATTTGAACACTCAGCAGTCTCTGCTCACACAGTTATGGAGGCTGATAAATCCAAAACCTGCAGGGCAGCCAGCAGGCTGGAGACCCAGGGAAGAACTGGGGCTGCAGAGGACGTCTGAGGGCTGCCTGCTGACAGATTCCTTCTCTGAGGGGAGG
The DNA here is from genome assembly GCF_000001405.40 of Homo sapiens. Classification (NCBI taxonomy): domain Eukaryota; kingdom Metazoa; phylum Chordata; class Mammalia; order Primates; family Hominidae; genus Homo; species Homo sapiens. Next base: position 2,965,406 of record NC_000010.11, read on the forward strand.
CCAGTCTTCTGCTCTATTCAGGCCTTCAGCTGATTGGATGAGCCCACCCACATTAGAGAGGACAATCTACATTCTTTGAAGTTCACCAATTTAAATGTTAACTTCATCCCAAAACACCTTATAGAAACATCCAGAACAGTACCTGATCAAACATCTGAACACCCTGGTCCAGCCAAATTGACACATAAAATTCACCATCACAGGAGACATTCGTCAAGTCAATGGCAGGGATAAAAAGGCAGAAGTGAGGGGACATACAGAAAACTGAGGGTCATCTAGAACTCTTCCCTATGCATGGACCTTATTTAGATCCTAACTCAAAGAAATCAACTGCAAAAAGATGTTGCTGAGACAACTGGGGAAATTTTATTGTAGATTGGACATTAGATAATACCAAAAAGCATACCCTTAATTGTGTTACATTTGGTAATGCCATAGTAAGAGAATATCCATACTGTTTAGAGATGCATGGTGAAGTGTGCAGGGATGAAATGAAATTTAATGAGGATTGCATTAAAATAATCTCATAAGAAAAGGAAAAAAAGAGGCTGGGCACAGTAGCTTGCACCTGTAATCCTAGCACTTTGGGAGGCCAAGGCAGGAAGATCACTTGAGGTCAAGAGTTCAAGACCAGACTGGCCAACATGGTGAAACCCCATCTCTACTAAAAATACAAAAGTTAGCTGGGTATGGTGGCACATGCATGTATTCCCAGCTACTCGGGAGGCTGAGGCAGGAGAATCACTTGAACTGGGGTGGCCGAGCTTGCAGTGAGCTGAGATCATGCCACTGCACTCCAGGCTGGGTGACAGAGTAAGACAAGACAAGACAGACAAAGAAAGAGAGAGAGAGAAAAAAAAAAAGAAAAGAGAAGAGGAGAGGAGAGGAGAGGAGGGGAGAGAAGAGAAAAGAGAAAAGAAAAGGAAAGGAAAGAGAAGAGAAGAGAAAAGAAAAGAAAGGGAAGGGAAGGAAAGGAAAGGAAAAGAAAGAGGAGCAACGTAGCAAAATCTTGGTATTTGCCGAAATTCGATGATGAGAATATGAGAATGTGTTATACTCTTCTTTCTGCCTCAGATTATTCATAACAGTGTCATTTGGGCATTGTGCAGACAGTGCATATATTGTGGCTATAAAATACTATGCTGAGAATAAATATATTTGCAAAACAATCATTATTCTTAAGATATCTTCATGGATCCTCCCAATGTTCTTTATTTCTTCTCAAATTCATGACTGCAAATAGCAAAGCTGCCTTCTATCCTTCACCACATCAAAGCAATAGGATTTGGAATTTTGTTAATACAGTTTACCCAAGTTCTAGGGAGAAAATTTGCAAACTCCCACTGTGAGAGTATTTCTAAATATTAGTAAAACATTAGGTGGCAGCGGACTGCATGCCAAGGGTTTTGAAAGTGTGTTCATGGTAGGCTTGTGCACAACGGGCTAATTTGGTTGAAAGATGTTCCAGGGCTATTTTTATCTTAATTTATATTTTATTCAGAACCCACAGAAGGATGGCAATAGCATGTAAATCCCAGAAAGCTTCATACTTTCCCTGAATGCACCATTATTTTGGCAATCTTAAAAGGAAAGCAACACTTCCACGATTTCACAGGGAGCTCTGAACATAGCAAATGTTTACTGGAGGGACATGCATGTCCTTTTTTTTAATGTTTCTAAACAGCATATGTGCAAATGAGATTTGAAATGAGGGGTGTATGTATTTTCCACAAATCCCTAATTTATTTATGTACGTTTTAAATATTTTCTAATGGCTTTAAAAGAATTAGAAATGGATTTTCTTTATTTAAAATTGAGTCTTTTTTCAGTAATAAATTTTTACTTGAGAACTCAGTAAGATTTCTCCTTTTAAATAATTGAAACTGCTGAAACAGGTTGTTTATTTTACCTTATTGAAATGAGGATTGCCCACGTTTTCTGTAAATAATAATTAAAGGAATAAAAACTCCATAATGGAGGCCAGGCATGGTGGCTCACACCTGTAATCGCAGTACTTCGGGAGGCCAAGGAGGGCAGATCACTTGACCTCAGGAGTTCGAGACCAGCCTAGGCAACATGGTGAAACCCTGTCTCTACAAAAAAATACAAAAATTAGCCGGGCATGGAGACACACAGCTGTAGTTCCAGCTGCTCGGGAGACTGAGGTGGGAGGATTGCTTGAGCCTGGGAGGTCAGAGCTGCAGTGAGCCATGATTGCACCTCTGCACTCAAGCCTGGGTGACAGAGAAAGCTTCTGCCTCAAAAATGAAAACTAAACTCCTTAGTGGGGAAAAAAGCGTGTGTGTGTGTGTGTGTGTGTGTGTGTGTGTGTGTGTCCCTGTGTTCTCCAGAAAGCCGAATTCCACAAGTTAAGTGGTTCCTAGATGTCATTTCTATGGCCAAACATCTGGGCTCTGTTGACACCATCATGCTAAGCCAATTAACGTAGGAACAGAATACCAAATATCACATATTTTCACTTACAAGTAGGAGCTAAACGTTGGATAAATACGGACACAAAGAGGGGAGCAAAGAACCGTGAGGACTACTAGAGGGACGAGAGTGGCAGGGGCTGAAAAACTACCAATTGGCTGCTATGCTCACTACCTGTGTGATGGGATCGTTCGTACTTCACACCTAAGTGTCATGCAATATATCTATGTAACAACCCTGCAGATTACCCCCTGAATCCAGCATAAAAATTGAAAAAAAAAAATCAGATGTCTACGAGAGGAGGTTGGTCACCCCAACAGATTTAGTGTTGTGAGCATCATTAAACTAAACAGCAAGATGGAAAGTAACGTGGCTGTTGAAACAAATCCGTGGTAGTACTGATGGCTTTTCCAAACACATGAGTGTCACGCAATGAGCTATCTCTTCAAAAGTACCGCAACACCACACACAGGTCATTCGAACCGGCATGCAATGCTAAGATTATCCATGAATGATTGGGCAAGCTAAATGAATTGCATCTCATTGTTATCTAACCAGCAACGAAGGTTTCCTCTAACCAACCTGGGTGAATCATATAAGGAATTGTTAACTATTATGGCAGTACGCAGTAGAAATGAAAGCCATCAGAACACACACTGGTTGGGGGTCATTGCAGACACAGCCGAGAGCTCGCTGTTCTCCCACAGAGCTCTAGTTTTTCTGGAGTAAGAGTCGGTCCATACGGAACATGTGTGTGTCAGAGCCGTGGGCAGAAATGGAATGCAGAAGTGGGATGCGGGTGATGAATCATGATGGTGCCTCGGCTCCTGTTCCATAAATTTCTAGTAAATAAAAATAAAATTTAAAGTCTTACTCACACTTTTATGGACTCTTAAGAGCTTTCTTTTTTATGGTTTGCTTTGGGCAGTATGAGAGAGAGAGAGAGAGAGAGAGCAGAGAGAGTGAAATGTGTGAAAGACAAAGATGAATAGCTCTTGGGAAGATCAAGGCCTTCTTATTAGCTTGCATTTGGCAGGCATCCGCTCATCACTCATCTAAAACACCTTATAATAGTCTGATTGAATGGGAGGGTGATTTTTATGATGTGAGTTAAATGGAAATTAGGGTGATTTTTGAAACTCTAACATATGGCCCTACTGATTACTTTTCCCAACAAATTTTTCATGTGGTCATAATCTAAATTTAAATAAGAGTCTACAGGGGAAAATGCTAGGGTATTCAAACCCTACGCCCTCACGCCTCCTAAGAGGACAATAAAAATCAAGTTTCCTAAAGTCAAAGGAAAATTTGAGGCAAGTGGAAAATTAATGAACGTGAAAAAAACACCTCCAGAAAAAGTTCCCTGCAAGTGTCTTTCTTCCCAATGGTTTTAAACCAGAATTGAAAAAGAGAGCAGAGATTTTTGATAAGGCTGGAGCCAGGTATGCTGTGTGATTTCCTTAAAGAAGGTTTGCGAGGCAATGAGTACAAATAGCGACATAAAAAGGGCTTTAATTGAGGGCGCAGTACCTTCCAGAACATTCCTACTGATAAAATGCACATGGAAAAACTTCACTTAATAACCTTTGTGATCTTTGTTAGTTTAGACACATCTTTCTTTAATTATAAATGAAACACAGGCTCACTGTAGAAAATTTTGAAAATGCACAAAAGTATAAAACAGAAGATAATAATCATTCTAAATCTCCAGGCCCAGAGATAATAGCTGTAAATCGCTATTACCATTTTGGTATTTCCTATACTTTTTAAAATAAAAAATATATATATTCATATTCTAACAGATTGGAGATTGTGCTGCTTATAAATTTAATAATCTCCTTTTGACTAAATTTTATATGCTACACATCCTCCAGTGCCATTAAAGATTCTTTGTAAAAATCTTTCTTGAATCTTAAAAATATATGAGTATCTCCAGTGCTTTCCATCTATAGTGGTGCCATGGTTTAATGATTGCATTTCTAATTCATCTTCTCCTCCATGAAAATACTTAGGTCAAATTCTACACATTTGCTGTATTAATGAAATATCAGAACACATATTGATTAAAAATGTATATACCATTTCTTCATATCAGAGGCAATTAAGAAGTTGTTGATTAGATGCCAAAATATTGGAACTTATGATAATTTACAGTGGCTCTTGAGGAAAACAGGGCCAGATACCAGAAATTAAATCTTCACTAAATATTTGGGAATATCTGATTACTTTCCCATAGCACATTTGCAGGGATTTTAGTAAGTCACCTATGACACTTATCTTTGCATCTGCAAAAAGAAATAGGCCTTCTGTGGGAAAAGCAAGAAACATCACAACGTGTGGAGTGTGGGGTGATCAAAGCTGCCCTGCAGTGCGAACAAGGCTCCCAAGGGGGCCGATGGTGTGGGAGGCACCAGGCACGGGGTTGCCCCTCCACCACCCCATGTGTCCTGCGGTTGCTCCTTACCTGTAAAAGAGTCTCCTGCGGTCGTTCAGGGCTGCCATGAAGCTGAGATGATGCTCCCCATGGCTCTGTGCAGTGCTGGGCACAGAAGAGGTGCTTAGTCAGTTACTGCTGCAGCTGCTGTGGCTATTCATAGTGTACTCCAAGATAGACCACACCACCATGTCCTGCATCAACAGAGTTATTAATAATATGGTTGTTATTAATAATATAGTTATTAATAATATGGTTGTTATTAATAATATAGTTATTATAAGAATATAGTTATTAAAGGTGGTTGTTAACATAGTTATAATAATTATTTATTAATCATTAATTGTTAATTAATCATAAATTAATAATTAATGATTAATATTATATAGCTATTAATAATATGCTATGTTACATATCGGTATGAGCAATATTTTTAATATTAAAAAGTGATAACATATGATATCAAATTGTTAATGGTATTATACAGGAAATAAAATGACACATGGTAAAGGCTTGATTATACCTGTTTATTTCCTTATATACCTATACATGTGTTTGCATGTATGTGCATATGTATATATGTGTGTGTGGTATATGTGTATGTATAGAAGATTGTGCTTGTGTGTGTGTGTGTGTGTGTGTATAAAAATAGATCCCTTAGAAGAAAACTAGTTTTGAAAGAGCATGGGAATATTTTTTTTGAGATGGAGTCTCACTCATCCAAACTCGAGAGCGGTGGCACAATTACAGCTTACTGCAGCCTCAACTTCATTGATCCTCCTACCTCAGCCTCTCGAGTAGCTGGGACCACAGGCATATACCGCCATGCCCTGCTAATTTTTTTTTTTAAGAGATGAGTTCTCCCTATATTGCCCAGGCTGATCTCAAACCCCTGGGCTCAAGTGATCTTCCCGGCTCAAGTGATCTTCCCACCTCAGCCTCCTCCCAAAGTGCTGGGATTACAGGCATGAGCTGCCATGCCCGGCCCAGGATTATTTTTTTAACTCAAGAAATGATGACTTGGAAATTGTAATTGTGGGTTTTATTTTAATATTGATTGTAAGTTGATATGAAGTCAATGTCAGGACAACAAATGCAGGAAATATCTCACAGAGAGATTATTTCAATCCTAAATGGTCGGAGAATCAAAGATTCCAAGTGATGTTTTAAAGAAAAGTACAGATGAGGAGGGAGGAGAATACTTGGAAGGGAATCAGAAGAAATTAATTTCATTAGTAGAAAGCAAGCAATCTCGGAATGGGATATGAGGCCACCCTCAGGAATGACCTGGGCACCTGCACAGCACAAACTGGGCCTGGAATCCCAGTCTCCCCTGACAGTTTCCGCTATCATTGCATTTATTCTGAACTGCTCCTTCTTCCCCTTGAAAGGAAGGTCATAATATCTTCCCCCAAGTACTCTCACGAAGCCATATTCAGTAAGAAGCTATATTCAATAAGAAGCCATATTCAATAAGATACAAAGTCACCGTGATGCCCAATACCATGCTGTGATTCAACATTTTAGCTATTATTCGAGATCGATTTTACACATTGGAGGAATTTAAGGGAGTAAATAAAGTCAAAGTGAGACATTTAAACAGTGCTTTTATTAGAAAAAGATCTGGAAATGAGGAGATGGCTAAGACTTTGATACTGTGGCAACTGGAACTTGGAACCCCACACCTCGCCAGGATCCCGCTGGTCCTTGGGACAGAAGCAATCTCAGTCCATTACCTTCAAGTGAATTTTTAAAACTCCTGCAAAAGAAAAATAAAACACCACTTTCACGAGTGCCTCAGAATAAATCTAAATGCTTTGCTAATTGCTTGTCACCACTACAAATAGTATTTGCTTTTCAGGGAGCTTTTTATAACGGCCTGGAAATAAATCAGAACTTTTAATTCCTTTGAAGACAGGCTGAGAAAGAAAAAAAAAGGTGGAGGTAAAACTTCTAGGATAACAGAATCATCTTGAGCATCATCTGAAGGGTGTTCTTGTGTAATATAAGGAAGGCCTAATCAGATCAGCTAGAAACAGTTGCCTGTACGATAAATGCTCACTGCTTACGTATTGTTTTTCTTCAAACCTAAAGTCTCGATGAGGAAAGCAGCTCCCTGGACAGCCAATTCCTGCAAGATTACAAGGTCAGGCCCTTCCACCTCCCCGACAGGGCTGGGAGGCCGCGGAGATGAGTTCACACAGCTGGCTGCTTTAGTGACTCGAAATGCCATCTGAGGCTTGGCAACATTTGTTTTTGTTTCTGGAGAGTAGAATTTAATGTAATATCAAATCACCCCACTCAAGGTACTGTACTCTTGGAAATTGCTTCTTAAATTCCACTGACCAACTAACAGAAACTGCCTGCCACAACAGAAAAAGTTTTATCAGAATATATCTGCTATGCAGTGCACCACAAGTGTCTTCAAAGCATCACTGTGTTCAACTAAAATGTTTAAACATTCCAATGCACAGCTTTAATTCATTTGCTGATAGTAATTAACAGAACAAAGTCACCGAGACCAAATTACCTTCAGGTTTCAATAAAAACAATGTCCAATTGAAAGGTAAAATTTAGGATTAAAAAAAAAAACCCATAGCAAATTATCGAGAGATGAATCAGCCCAGCACAGAGGGTTTGCAGGGAGGTGAAACTACCCTGTGTGTGCTGCAGTGGCAGAGGTGAGAAATCTGTCCAATTCACAGAATGCCCAGCACCGAGAGTCAGCCCTGGTGTGAACTGTGGACTCTGGGTGGTAATGATTTGTCCATGTAGGTTCATCGATTGCGACACGTGGGCCCTCTGGAGGGTGTGTGCAAGTGGGGAGCAGTACGATAATTCTCTACTTTCTGATCAATTCTGCCGTGAAGCTAAGACTGGCCTAAAAAATAATGTCTATTTAAAAATCTATAGCAAATTGTTCATCGATGCCATTAAATTTCACTCTAAATTGAACGGGAGGGCTGATTTTCCAGTGTGGCTGTGACTTGTCTGAGGCTGGCTGCCTGAAACTCCACAATCTCTAAAGCCAAGACAGAGAGCTTAAGAAGATAAGCAGCCTGAGGCAGGGGCAAGGGGGAGGTTCTGGGTCACCCCCAAGATCTGCACACCCAACCAGGCCAGAGCAGCCATCAGGGTTCTGGCCTCTCCTTCCCTGAAAGGTGTCCCCAGGGCCACATGGACGCCCATCCCTCCCCGGACGCTCCCCACCCCTGCCCGGGAAAGCCACCCAGAATTAAATCCTGGGGTGGAAGGAGGAGCCCCCTGGACTAACGAGCCACAGTGCCAGTAGCAAAGCACCAGGAAATCTGCAAGCCAGCAAACACACTGCTGTCTCTGTGCTGGCCTGGGAAATTTGAATGTGCTTTGAAAATTTGTTGAAGAATCATACCCTGGTAGGACCCAGGGAGAGAAATATCTGGGCTTACTGATCTGTCGGCATGATTCAGCCACTTCCCTTCCTTTCATTCTTTGATTAACAAAGCTGAAGTTTCCCTGACAAAGTGTTATGGAAGGATGGCCAGGGTTAAGATCGCAATTGCTTGTAAAGCAATGTAAATAATAAAAGAGAAATGATATTGCACACTGCTGTGCCATTTTCAAATTGATATTTTCCAACATAACTGCATCGAATCCTCATGACCATGTGAGCCCTTAAGTACTATTATTACCCCTGTTTTATATTTGAGGGTTGAGGCTCAGAAAAACCAAGTAAAGTGGTCAAGGTCAATGTAGGAGGCCTCAGATTCCAATTCCAGTGTCCTCCGGTTACAGCACCCGGTGACCTGGGGCCATTTTCTTTTAATCTACAGATAGGCAGCAGGCCTTGGAAATCCAGCTCTTTGAAAATAGTAATTACTTTGTTTTTTTTAGGTCCAAAATGTGCCCAGCAATTGAAGCATTCTTAAGTGGGCAGGATCACTCAGTTATTTTGGTCATCTTCATAGTCAGTTTGGATACAATCAGGACAGAATGACCAGCACGCTATAGACCCCCAAGATTAATTGACCACATCACAGCCAATGTCATATGAGCCCAGGCTGAGAATGTATTTGGAGGTTGTGCAGACACCCGAGACAGAAGTAATTATTTTATTATTTATTATGAAGATATTGGAGTTATGTTAAAAAAAAAAGTAGGAATAAAGAGGAAGCAGTGAATTCGTTTAAACAAAATTGAGGATTCACTGCCTGCATAGAAATAAAAGCCTTCCAAGCAAAATGATTTATAAATAAAAGACGAGTAACTACCATGTATTATAAATGATGCCTTTCCTGCCCTGTGTATTGTAAAATGCTTTCTAGAATCTTACAAAAGCCAGCATGGCAAGAATGTAATGAAGAAGAGAATTGCAAGATTAGAATCACATGGAAATGGGGGTCCTTGGGTAGCCACAGAAGGCGGCTGAACTCCTGGGCTCACGGCAGTGGGTGATCTCTAATAAACTGAGAGAGCAGAGCAACGAAGCTCATTAAAATACAAGAAGAAGAAAAAACTCAGGATAATATCATCCATCTCCACTGATTTCATCACCCTGAGAATGAGGGGTAAAGCTTGCTAACATGAGAATGAATTTTTATAAAGCACAGACATTTTCTGACATTTTAAGGGAAGAATATGGTGTGGCATTCCCCAGCCTGCAATGCAATGTGTTTATTTAAGGAGTAAATGCAGAAATGTTTTAGGGAGATGGGCCTCAATGAGCTCATGTGGGAGCAGAGAGCCCTGACTACGAGGAGGCCTCCGTGATCCCTCAGCAGAGCACACGCTCCTGCACTGACCAGAACCACGCCACGAAATCGGACCCCAGGAACCCTCGCAGATAGAATCCAGCACCTTCCTTCATCCAAGTTTGATGAGTTTGCTGATAATTCATATTCACACTCGGCTTTTCCAAGAAAGTAAGGAAGAAGGAAAAAAAGGGCTTTACTTGCCACTTTTCCGAAAAGACAAATTATTCAGAGGTCATCAAACCTACAGGAAGAGCAAATGAGAAGGGATGGGTAGGGCCTGCTGGGTGGACCCCTTTTAAATACCTCTCGCCAGGCGCGGTGTCTCATGCCTATAATCCCAGCACTTTGGAAGGCCGAGGGGGGTGGAACACTTGAGGTCAGGAGTTCAAGACCAGCCTGACCAACATGGAGAGACCCCGTCTCTACTAAAAATACAAAATTAGCTGGGTGTGGTGGTGGGCGCCTGTAATCCCAGCTACTCGGGAGGCTGAGGCAGGAGAATTGCTTGAACTCAGGAGGCTGAGGTTGTGGTGAACCAAGATGGCGCCATTGCACTCCAGCCTGGGCAACAAGTGCAAAATTCCATCTCAAAAAATAACAATAATAATAATAATAATAATAATAATAATAATAATAATAATTGATAATTAATAAATAACTCTCAAGTGAATGCATCCTCAACCTGTTTTTCTCCATCAGTTTGTTTGACTTTTTAAAATATTAAGATTGGCCAGATGCTGTGGCTCACACCTGTAATTCCAAAACTTTGGGAGGCTGAGGCAGAAGGATGGCTTGAGCTTTGGAGTTCAAGACCAGCCTGGGCAACGTGGTGAAAACCCATCTCTACAAAAAATGCAAAACTTAGCTGGGTGTGGTGTCACATGCCTGTGGTCTCAGCTACTTGGGAGGCTGAGGTAGGAGGATCACCTGAGCCCAGGAGGATGAGGCTTCAGTGAGCCGCGATCATGCCACTGCACTCCAGCCCAGGTGATAGAGCAAGATCCTGTAACCAAAAAATAAAATAAAATAAAATATTAGGCTATAATAAGTAATAGTTTGAATTTTCTGATGTACAAAATTAGTTAGGAGAGCACTGCAATGGAAATACAATGCAAGCCACAGATGCCATTTTAAATTTTCTAAAGCATATTAAGTAGAAACAGATAGAAGCAATTTTAATAATATATTTTTAAGGCCGGGCACAGTGGCTCACGCCTGTAATCCCAGCACTTTGCAAGGCTGAGGTGGGTAGATCACGAGGTCAGGAAATCAAGATCATCCTGGCCAACATGGTGAAACTCCGTCTCTACTAAAAATACAAAAATTATCTGGGCGTAGTGGCACATGCCTGTAGTCCTAGCTACTCAGGAGGCTGAGGAGGGAGAATTGCTTGAACCAGGGAGTCGGAGGTTTCAGTGAGCCAAGATTGCACCACAGCACTCCAGCCTGTGAACAGAGTAAGACTTGGTCTCAAAATAATAATAATAATAATAATAATAATAATAATAATAATAATAATAATATATTTTAAGCCCAATATGTGAAATATTATTTTAACATATACCTGAGACAAAAATGTCAAGATATTTCTGTTCATTCTGTCATACAAAGTCTTCAAATCTGGTGAGCATTTCCCACCAAGAGTTCGGTTCAGCTTGGACAGGCCACACTGCAGGATCTCAGTGGCCACATGTGGCTAGAGGCCACCCTACTGGGCAGTGCAGAATTAGAATATCTTGCCTTTCCGTGGGTCAGAAATCTGAAACTCTAAATCAAAGAATATTACAAAATATATTCTATGCTATAGCATTCTTTTGTTGGCAATCAAGAAGGTGAAAATACAATTCCGTGGGATGGAGATATTATTTTAAGTTGAATACAGGAATACTTGAAAAGATATTTCTTATTCCTTAATGTATGGATTAGGTGACTCCCCTACATGTCAAACAAGAATCATAGTTCTCAACATTTAGCAGTTTATATGGTCTAGGAGGAAGATTTTAAGGATTACCAGTTACAATATTATTATTATCATTATTATTATAGTGCAATATAGTGCAATAATTCCAACCTGTTTTTAACAAGAAATAAGAGATTTTAAAATAACTAGAACTTAAAACAAGAATAAGTAATAAACGTTGAGTACTTCCTGTATGCCAGATGCCATGATCATAGGATCCTCAAAACCCCATAAAGTAACCACTGTTATTAATTCTATTTTAAAGTTTTTAAAAAGTGCTGGAGGCTGGGCTTGATGGTTCATGTCTATGATACCCATGCTTTGGGAGGCTGGGGTGGGAGGGTCCCTTGAGGCCAGGAGCTCGAGACCAAGCTGGGCAACATATGAAGACCCTGTCTCTACAAAAAACAATTTTAAAAATTATCTACAGATGGTAATGTTTGCCTATAGTCCTAGCTACTCGGGAGGCTGAGACAGGAGGATTGCTTGAGCCCAGGAGGTCAAGGCTGCAGTGATCCATGATTGCACCACTGCACTCCAGACTGGGAAACAGAGTGAGATCCTGTCTTAAAAAAAAAAGAAAAAGAAAGAAAGAAAGAAAGAAAGAAAGAAAGAAAGAAAGAAAGAAAGAAAGAAAGAAAGAAAGAAAGAAAGAAAGAAAGAAGAAAGAAAAGAAAAGAAAAAAAGTGCAGGAGCCCATAGCCTTCCTCCCTGTCGACTAGGGCGCCTCTTTGCCTGGTCCACCAAGGGCCAGGGTGCGGTTACCGCACTGCAGCCAGGGAGGACTGTGAGGACCATGAAGACTGTGAGGACCGTGACGAACTCACACTTCGGTCACAGTCTCAGCAGGCTCCCTAGAAGGATGAGCTTCAGGCCTGCTTCTGCTCTCCAGCAACTTCAGAGGGAAACGTCTTCCAGGTGGAATAAAGAACCCAGGAAAAATGGAGAGGAAACATAGCCCCAGAAATTAATATCCACTGACCTAACAAAGGTTTCAAATGGTGTTTAAGGACCAAAACCAGGTGCCGTGATTTCACACCGTGATTGGTGTCCATTACAGTGAGAACACACCTCATGGCCTCTTTGTTCTCTAAATGCATAAAATATGAATGTTCATTTGAGCTCTTAAGAAGATTGCCTTTATAAGAAAACAGAAAGACAAAATAAAAGAAGGAAGTGAGGAAGGAGGGAGGGAAAGAAAAAAGGGAGAGAAAATCAGGGAAAACAACAACAAAAAAATGGACATTATCGCAGAGGAGCATTTGAGTTTCTCTCTCCCTCTCTCTCTCCTCTTGAACTGGAGGAGCCTTAAGTCAGTCAAACGCTTCCCTCTAGTGTCTGAAATGCTGAATACAGATTTCATTCTCTGAAAACAATGAACAAATCCTTGTAAATTCAGTCTTATGGTACCTGCAGACTCCAATCTACCTTTTAAACTATAATCAAGAAAAAAATTTCAAAAGTAAAATAATTATCCAGTCTTGATTTTCTCCTTACAAATTATGGATTATTCTGGTTTGGTTTTTTTTTTCTGGAAAAGTCATTTAAATCCCAGGGCTGTAAGAAAACTAGGAAAGAAAACTGAATTTTCACAAATCTGATCAATACAGCTTGCATTTAATACAATGATACATTTCTATAACATTTCTGAGAAATTTTAAAATTAAAAATCCTGGCTCTCTTCTTTATCTGGTAGGTTGGTTGTTACAGTTTGGTTTTTTTTTTTCTTACAATTTTAGCTAGAATTCTCACTTCTCACTTTGAGCCACAATTGGTATATCTTGATTGTTACTGTCTCTGGAATAATTAAAAGTAAAAGTTCAGGGCTGGGTGTGGTGGCTGACTCCTGTAATCTCAGCACTTTGAGAGGCCGAGGCAGGTGGGTTGATTGAGGCCCAGGAGTTGGAGACCAGCCTGGTCAACATGGCGAAACCCCGTCTCTACTAAAAATACAAACATGAGCCGGGTGTGGTGGCGCCCACCTGTGGTCCCAGCTGCTCAGAAGGCTGAGACACGAGAATCACTTGAACCTGGGAGGTGGAGGTTGCAGTGAACCAAGATGGCGCCACTGCCCTCCAGCCTGGGCAACAGAGCGAGACTCTGCCTCAAAAAAGAAAAAGAAACCAAAAATGTAAGCATTCAATCTGAAAGCAGCAAAGCAGGGTAAATATTAAACCACTTCAGACATTTCTGCCTTTCAATATAGAAGTTGATCTACATTCCAGAACAATACATATTAAATAAGCCATCACAATCAGTACCTCTGCAATCAATATTGCATATTTATCACAAACATTTCTCCAAAGAGGAGAAAACAAACATGTTAGCATTGGTAAATGTTACTGTCGGAGAAAGGAGACTCAAGCCCTCAGCAAGGCGGGGGCAGCTGCCCAGGGGAACAGGAATTGGGGACAGGCTGGACATTTCCAAGCGTCCAGTAGTTCCTGGCCAGCTTCCTTCTTGACTGGAGACTCTCTGAGCTGCAGTTTGGCCCCACACATTGCAGAACTCCTTTAACAGGCTATGGCAGAAACGGAAGACAAGTGTTGCGAAAATAATCGCATGCTTCAGATGTTTTGTTCTCAGACCAAACTGAGGGGCAGGCGGCTATTTCTCTCAGCCCAATAATGAGATGCAGATGAACTGGGGAGGAAGAGAGATTTTATTTTCTGCCACCGGTTACAGGGAGAAGACCTGGAAATTATTGCCAGACAAACTCAAAATTACAAAGTTTTCCAGAGCTTATCTACCTTCTAAGCATTCATCTAAAGACACAGATGATAAACTTCTTCTAGTCTATAACTAATATCTGAGTCCTGAAGACCTTCCTCTCGAGCCTCAGTAAGTTTACTTCACCAAATGGTCCAGGTTCCGGGGTGATTACCCTTATCTTGTCTCCTGCTAAATCATGGAGGTTTGGGCAGTTCCTTCAGGCCCCAATAAAACTTGTTTAATCCTAAATGGGCCCTGTTAAGAATTCCTTCATTATTTTGTCATGCTTTAAGGCCCAGGAAAGGCCTACTGAAACTGTTGTTACGGAGGCCTGCATTAGTGAGACCTGGCCTGCCACAATTTCATATGATTCTTTTTTAGCATGGAAAATTCTGGAAACTGTTCTGACATCCTCTGGTTTGTGGAAAGTCCAGCACAGAGCAAGACAACTTGCAGAGTATTGGGGCTTGTCTTTTATCTTCAAAGGGAACACTGAAACAATAATACTTACATCTGAGTTCCTCCTATGGGCTAGGGGCTGTTGTAACTTCATCACATGTGTTTGTTTGTTTGATGTTCACAGCAAAGGATGTTGTTGGCATGATCACGTTCCCTGTGTCACAGAGAGGAACCTGAGGCACAGACAGAAAAATCAGTTTGCCCAGATTCGCACAGCCAGTGAGTGACTAAGGGAGCATTCCGAGGAGAAAGAAAAACATACTTGAATGAAAGCAGTTGCTTGAGGGGAACCTTGGTCTACTTTTTTTTTTTTTTTTTTCTGAGATGGAGTCTTGCTCTGTCACCCAGGCTGCAGTACAATGGCGCGATCTCAGCTTACTGCAACCTCCGCCTCCTGGGTTCAAGCGATTCTCCTGCCTCAGCCTCCTGAGTAGCTGCGATTACAGGCACGTGCCATCGTGCCTGGCTATTTTTGTATTTTTAGTAGACGTGGGGTTTCACCATGTTGGTCAGGCTAGTCTCAAACTCCTGACCTTGTGATCTACCCATCTCAGCCTCCCAAAGTGCTGGGATTACAGACATGAGCCACTGCGTCCAGCCTGGTCTACTTTTAATATTGTTTTATTACTCGTATTTAAAGGAGTATTTTTCCTCCTCCGCCAATACACTGACTTATGTGAGTAGTCAACTCTTCTGAGCCATGCAACCCCGCTGTTTAAATGACTCGCGGCTTTGTCACTCCCAAATCCTACAGTAAAATGTATCTGGTGGAGAAATGAACAGACTTGTCTCCTTAAATGAGTGTGGAGAACAGAATGAGTTAAAGGAAAACAAAACAATAAAGCATTCATGTATTTAAAAGATCTGGCCGAATAGTTTGCTAACCTAAAGAAAATGATTCAGAGGCTGGGCATGGGGGCTCATGCCTGTAATCCCAGCACTTGGGAGGCTGAGGTGGGAGGATTTCTTGAGCCCAGGATTTCAACACCAGCCTGGGCCACATAGTGAGACCTCATCTGTACAAAAAACAAAAAATAAAAAACTAGCCAGGCGTGATAGCATGCAACTGTTGCCCCGGCTACTCAGGAGGCTAGACGGGGAGATTTGCTTGAGCCTGGGTGGTCAAGGTTTGTGGTGAGTCGTGGTCACCCCACTGTCTGGGTGACAAAGCAAAAAAAAAAAAAAAAAGAAAGAAAATGACTCAGCAGCATTCGATCAAACTGAGAAACATAATTGAATCCTGCCCAGTGTCCCGTGTCCATCGCTAGGTCCTCTACTGTGGGACCAGTGCGTGATAAGTGAAGAGTCTTTCAACTCTCTCCAAAAGCCGAGGCACCAGAGGGCACAGCGCAGAGCAGGCAGGAAGCCCCTGAACAGTGATTGGCGCTGGAGGTCCACGATTCATTCACAAGGCGTTGCAGGGCAGCGGGATGGGCGTGTTTTGGATAAACGTGCCGGGGTTGCTTACACCCCGCCGGAAGCTAGAGGATCAGGACATCCTTGCCCGTTTCTGCCATCGGCTTGGCCAGCTGTGCTCACGGGCACAGCGGAGAGCAGACAGTGGTCAAAGAATGAACTTCAGTTGCCCCCAAAGCACTTGCTTGCTTCTATCCAGAAATTCCTGTGATGACGCTGTGAGCTGTGATTTCATCTGGGAACCTCAGCACTTCAGTGTTCCTTTTTGGAGGGATCAGTTCTTTTTTTCTTTCTTTCTTTTTCTTTTTTTTTTTTTTTTAACCTTCCAAAGCTCCCATGCAGCAAAAGTTGTATGAGTAGGAGGTCGATTAAATTTAAAAGTTGGTGAAGAAGAGCTTCCAGCTTCCCACCTAGGATGTAAGGGGCTTGGAGGTGGCCACTCCCTCCTAACAGGTAAAAAGCTGAGCCCTGACGTAAACTCTGAATGCTGGGTGACAAGGGTGTGTCGGTGACATAGGTGCATGGATGGTAACAAATGGACCGCTCTAGTGGGGGTGTTGGTAGTGAGGGAGGCTATGTGTGGGGGCAGGGGAGTTTTTTGGAAAATCTCTGTACCTCCTACTCAATTGTGCGACAAACCCACAACTGCTTTAAAAAAAAAAAAGCTCATTTTTAAAAATGGGTTAAGCAGAGAAAATAATGACAACAAATATTGCTTGTTAGCCTAAACGACACAATGGGAGTTGTTCTTTGATGCTTTCGCAGGTGCCAGGCCTCTGCTCAGCCCCCAGCCCCTAGAAAGCCACTCCCAGTGCCTCGTTCCTCAAAATACAGCCACCGAGCATGAAAGAATGCAACTGTTTCTTAAAACAGATCAAGAACTTATCTTTAAAGATATCTGAGAATCTATCTCGATTTTTTTAATGTTTCTCAACGATTCTTAGTTTTCTTGCACATGTCTAATTCAACAGCATTTGTAGTTTGTATTTAATCTTTCCAGAGCATTCAGTTAACTGTACAGCAATAACACATCTCATCCATCCTTTTGGATCTTGTATTTCATGGGTTTATCAAACATTTTGTTAAATTATGAAATTACACTAAAAAACACAGAAGGCACAGATTTGGGAACAAGCTACCTTTCAGAAACCCTTAACACAGCTGGTCAAGGCAGACATGGACAGCAGCTGCCCACCAGCCCCAGGCACCATGTACCCTGGAGGCTGGTCTGAGGCACTGGTGAGCTTTGATTAATGCCCCACATTGGCTCAACAGTGTCTGCAGGGAGAACATCCACTTGGCCTGTTGATGCAGCCTCTTCCCTCCCCTCCTATCCATAGAAAGGATCCTTTTTTTTTTTTTTTTTTTTCAAACGGAGTCTGGCTCTGTCACCCAGGCTGGGGTGCAGTGGCACAATTTCACTTACTGCAACCTCAGCCTCCAGGGTTCAAGTGATTCTCCTGCCTCAGCCTCCCAAGTAGCTGAGATTACAGGTACACGCCACCACACCCAACTAATTTTTGTATTTTTAGTAGAGATGGGGTTTCACCATGTTGACCAGGCTGGTCTCGAACTCCTGACCTCATGATCCACCCACCTCGGCCTCCCAAAGTGCTGCGATTACAGATGTGAGCCACTGTGCCTGGCCAGAAAGGATCCTTTAGGGCACAATGGAAACCTTGACATTAATGGCGGCTTTGCTGCAGGATTTCCTGTGATCTTACAAAGTAAGTGCTCCGGAAGTAGTTGTTGAGTAAATAATGTTCACAGCACTGAGCATTCTGATGGTTTAAAGAACTAAACATCTGCTGGGGTTTCTTTGAGGTTAGAAAGAGGCTTAGTGTTTGAAGACAGGATGGATTGTTATTAAAGAAATTAACAACCACTGAATTTGTCAGAGAGTTGGGGGGATTCACAAATTTTTTTTTTTTTTGAGATGGAGTCTTGCTCTGTCACCCAGGCTGGAGTGCAGTGGTGCGATCTCGGCTCACTGCAAGCTCTGCCTCCCGGGTTCATGCCATTCTCCTGCCTCAGCCTCCCGAGTAGCTGGGACTAAAGGCACCCGCCACCACACCCGGCTAATTTTTTTGTATTTTTAGTAGAGCCGGGGTTTCACCATGTTAGCCAGGATGGTCTCGATCTCCTGACCTCATGATCCACCCTCCTCGGCCTCCCAAAGTGCTGGGATTACAGGCATGAGTCACTGTGCCTAGCCGGATTCACAAAATATTAAATTTGAACCTCCACACAGGAAAATGTTAGCAGTATTTATTCTGAATTTCAGTCAGCAGAAATGACATGAAATAACTGGCTTTTGCCAGTTACTCAATCGTTCCTAGGTACATGATGACAGGAGCTGTTGGTTGCATGAAGTCATGAGTGAAGTTAAAGCAATGCATTTAGGTTAAAATATATACCCCATGTCTACATGGGGTATACATTTTATATATATATATGGATTATATATATGATATATATGGATTATATATATGATATATATGGATTATATATAATATATATGGATTATATATATCATATATATGAGATATTGTTATTTATTTATCTTTTAACTGAATTTGCCTGAATTTATATTTGTATGGGATATACATAGATAGATATAGATATAGACATAGATATATAGGTATAAATATGGTTTGGATAATAGAAAACACTTACAGATATTGGCCAAATCAGTTAAAAAATAATCAAAGACTCAGAGAGACATTTAATGAACTTTAAGTTTTACTGGATCATTGTATAAATAATAACCCTCATTATATTTAAAATCAATTTGGGAATAAGGATCAGCACTTTAATCTCAAGCCTTTATTATTTATTGCTGTGTGATTTCACAGCTTCCCCTGATGTCAGAACGCAAGCCCAGATGATGCCTGTGTGATGGGGCTTCCCTAGAAACGAAGGGATTTATTTTAATTGATTGCCTTTTAATCAGAAAGTTGTGTGAGGCATGAAGCCCTGTCCTTGGGCATCTGTGCAGCCCCAGCCTGGCAGAGAGTGGGTCGCAGCTGGTCTTCCACTGGCCAGCAGCCTGCAAAGCCCCTGGAGCCCAGGAGGTCTGTCTCCTGAGTGCCCCAACCTCATGCAAGCTGGAATTCCCTCAGAGTTTTGGGTCTGGGGTCCCAGCGCTGGTGAAGGCGCGGTGTGCACACTCCCTGGAGCCTCCACTGCAGGGCTTCCATTGACCAGCAGAAGGTCAACAAAGGCTCTGGGTCTCCAGAGCAGGTGCTCAGAGCAAACCCAGCATGCCACGTGTTGCTCAGGCCCAGGCTGAGGTGGATTCAGGAGAAGGATGGTTTGAATTTATTAGTCAGAAAGAAGCTACGTGAAATCAGCCTGTTTCTTGAAATGAATGTTCAGGGTGACCCTGGCTCAAGAAATTGCAAACCGTGGCCACTAAAAGGCCAGAGAGCGCCCTTCAGTGGGGATTCCCCAATTCCACGTGTAACTCGACCCAAACTCTGCAGCATCTGCAGGTCAGACATGGCCCCACGCAATCCAGGACCCTCACAGCTCAGCTCCCCCGTGTCCACTGGAATGACCCCCCTCAGTCCATCAGCTTGGACGACAATGCAATAATTAAAACAACGATAAGGGTACCAGTGAAGATGCTGCTGTCAGCTGAGTTCCTTTCGTGTGTACTTTACACACTTCACCTCTGTTACTCCTCCCAACGGCTCTGGGAAGCAGGAATTCTTTCTTCCAACGTGCAGATGAGAGCATTGAGGCACAGGGCATTTGAGAGACTTGCTCTGAAACACCAAACTAGTCTAGATGCGACTGATCACAGCTCAGCCAGGGTGGTCTCCAGCTACCTGGAAGATGTCAGTGGAGGGAAAAGAAGGGGAGTGGTCTTTAGTGAAACATCACTCCTCTCCCAGCCTCGCCAAGTGCATCCATGCACCTGCCGGGTGTCCTCACGGTGTCCTGAGCACAGGGCTCTCAGCCCAAGTTTTCCCTCGTCCAGTCCTGCGCCCACCAGGTATCAAGTGCTCACCACGTCCCAGGCTTCCTAACAGCTTTCATAAAATAGCTCATGTGAGTCCTTCCATCATCACAGTGAGTTAAGCCCTGTGATCCCCTCTTTGCCAGTGAGAAAACAAGGCTAGAAAAGTCTGCTGCTAAGAGGAAGTCTGAGCTTTCTACCCCGGGATGACTGGCAGGTGGTTAAAAACGTGGATCATCCTAACAAATGAATAAAACCTTGCCTCTACCACCTCCTGAAGGTGTAACCCGGGACAAATCACCTCACCTTTCCATGCCTCAGCTTCCTGATATGTAAACCGGAAAAGAACTCTCACCTCTCCAGCTTGGGAGGAGTCAATGAGTCACCCCTGGAAGGGCTGAGATCAGCTCGGCCACTCAGCAAGCTGCCATGGAAACGTTAGCCAGGACCTTTATAAGGCATTGTCTTGGGATCTGCCCTTTTGGAACCCTATTTCTTCGCAGATCATCCAGGCAGGGTCCAAGTCCGGCCCACCTGCAGGCACAGGGCAAGGGTGGGGCACACTCCCCTGCACCCCTTCCTTTTCCCCGCAGCCTCTCCCAGCCCTTCCTGGAACATGATTCCTGCAGACGCCCAGAGCTAGAAAACCCAGCTGCTCTCACGTCCACGTTTGCCATTTCTTCCACTTTTTCTGTTTTTCCTGATTCCACATCTCATATTTGGCCCATCTTGTGCTCACCTCTCTGTAAAAATGAGTCATATCACGATAATAAAAAGTCTAACCAGCAGTGGTCGTAAAAAATAAAATTACATCGTCATGAAACCCTCATGCTATCATTTACTATTGCTGGGGTCTTACCTTGTACCTGAAGTGAGAAAACAAAGGCATATGATCACAGGTTTGTATAGGAAGCTTTGCCAAGGTGAAACAAATATTGACCCAGAACAGATTGTGTCTAAAAGTGTTTAGTGTTCTTTTAAAGGGAATTGAAATGCGGAAGAGTAATAGAGGAGGAGGAAGGTCACTAGACCGCAAAACATAGCCAGGAACACCCCAGGTCCCCACCTGCTCCTCCTCCTCCTCCCCCCTCCACGCGGGCGTTGCCTATCTGGCTTGTTTTGGGGGAATGTAAACCGTTCTTGGAAGCCTGGTGTCCCCACGGCTTCACGGCCCTGACGCTGCTTTTCTTCCTGTTTTACCGCTCGCCTGGGACTTCATTTGCTTTAGTTGTGCAGTATTCTGTGTCCCCTCCTGTGAAGCTCATCTGTACTCTCAAGGGTAAATCCCTTTCCACCAGAAAGACAGATGGTTCCTTAAATGAGAGTTGAGTTTTTCTATTTACTGGAAGATTCCGAACACAGTAAACTCTTCCCTTTCTCTAATTCTGTAGCCCACCAGGACCATCCACTCCCCCCTGCAAAAAAAATCATCTGCAATCTGCATAATTCTGTTGTTTGTTCCCCAGACTCTGGGCATTTTCCTTCTCCTTTCTGCTCCCAGGTTATGGCTGGAAGGTGGCTGGACGGAGGGCAAATGCTTTCCAAAGGTGGTGTGGCCCCTGCTCTCCAATGAAGCAGGATGAAGGCAGGACCAGGGGTGGGAGGGGCTGAGAGAGAAGGGAGCTTTTCTTTCCCGCCCTCCCTCCTTCTCTCCCTCTTTTCCTTCCTTTCTTCCTCTCTTCTTTTTCTCTCTCTCTTCTTTCTTCCTTCCCTCCTTCCTTCCTCCCTCCTTCCTTCCTCCCTCCTTCCTTCTCTCCCTCCCTTCCCTCCCTTCTTCCTTCCTCTCGCCTCCCTCCTTCCTTTCTGTCTCTTCCTCTCATTCTCCCTCATTCCTTCCTTCCCTCTTTCCTCCTCCTCCCTTCCCTCCTTCCTTTATTCCCTTCCTCCATTCCTTCTTTCCTTCCTTTCTCTCTCTCATTTCCTCTTTCTCTCTTCCTCTCTCTCCCTCTCTCTCTCTCTCTTCCTCTCTCTCCCTCTCTCTCTCTCTTCCTCTCCCTCTCTCTTCCTCTTTTTTCTCTCTCTCCCTCTCTCTTCCCCTCTCTCTCTGTTCCTGCGTGCCTCTCTCTGTGTCTGTCTCTCTCTCTCTTCCTCTCTCTTCCTTTCCTCCTCTCTCTCTCTTTCTCTCTTCCTCTCTCTCTCTGTTCCTCTCTCTCTCTATGTCTCTCTTTCTCTCTCTATTCTCTCTTTCTCTCTCTCTCTCCCCCACCCTTCTTTCTGGTTGTGTGTGCTAAGGTATGAGCTCCTTGCCTGCACTGAACTGCAGGACCAACTGTCCCTGATGCGGGCACACAGGCCTGTGCTAGGACCCTCCCTGCTCCTGGCTCACAGATGCCACAGGCCAGGTCGAGGGTCAGCAGGCCCAGCAGAACTTCCCTCCCTGTGCCCCCCATGCCTCCCTCTTTTTCATTTGACCGCAGGCCATCTAGTCCATGTGTCCTGGGCCCCCATGTCCCTCCCGAGCTCTGCAGAGTGCAGCTTCAATCTGCATCTGGCCTTGGAGGCTGGGCGATGCTATGACTCGGTCTGGTGACAGGGGAGTCAGCAGGGCTGGAGGCAGCATCCCTGGAAATGTTCCTTTTCCCTCCACTTGGGAAAAGCCATCGAAAGAGGCTCTGTGACACCCTGGCCCTAGTAGCGTTCGATGGCTATCTTTACTTCATTAGCGTTTCATTCTCAATGGGCTTTCCTTGCTTATTTGACACCAATCTTCCAGCCTGACAGCCATTCCCCTGGAGAGAATTTAGTCAAAAATCTGACTGCTGCCCATCTAATCAAACCTTCAGTCAGTGGAGGCTTTCTCTACGTGTGCAAGTCTTTCACTCTGTCCTCCTCTTCCCTGCCACTCCCAGTCCACATGGAATGACAGAGCAGCGTCCCAGCCATGCTCCTGGCACAGTGCTCCCTCCGCAAGGCCTTCCCAGTGCTGCAGTAGGTTCCAGCCTGTCAAACTGCAGAGCCCCGCGTGCAGCCGCCATCAGGACAACAGTTGTAAAATGTTTGGTTGACAGTTTTTCATCCTCCAAAATTATCTTCTACAAATATTCTGTCTTTAAAACCAAGCCAAAGAGCACATTGCTCGAGGGAAGAAGAAGCAGAAGGAGAGTTCCAATGATGGGGAGGAGGCTGGGGACTGGGCGTCAGCCTCTCTGCAGGGCACTCCATGGGGCCGCTGGACAGGGCAGCAGGTTCTCCCCAGAGCAAGTTATGGAGGTGGAGGGATATGGATAGAAAAAGATGGAGAGGCACAACTAGAAGGGAGAGACTGAGAGATTGACAGAGACAGAAAGACTGAGAGAGAGACAGAGACAGAAAGACTGAGAGAGAGATAGAGACATCCTGAGAGACAGAAACAGAAAGACAGAGAGAGACAGAGACATCCTGAGAGAGAGGCAAACACATCCTGAGAGAGAGACAGACACAAAAAGAGAGGGAGAGAGAGAGCAGCAGACAGCCAGGAAGAGCCAGAACGGACCACAGCCCTGGCAGCACCTCTCCGGAAACACACTGTCTTTCCTCCCATACTCTATTGGCTGCACAGACCAACCCTCACTGGTGATGGGGGCAGGGACTAAATGAGAGTGTGGATGTCAAGAGAAGACATCACTGGGGCCATCACAAAGGCTCCTGACCTTGTCCTCCAGCCAGGACATTCTTCTCTGATCCCAGTCCCTGGTGCCTGCTGGATTCTGCCACCCTCCAGGTCCCTTGGAAGGTGACCCTGGGTCCTCCTCACACTTCCTCACTGTCTCTGCCCGATAGAATCTAAGTCCCCAAGGGAGGTGCTGGTCCCCCTCACTCACCATCCCATGGGTGATATGTAAGGACTGCCTTTGAAAAGCCTTGGGTTTCTTCAAGCTTTCAGTTGGAAGATTGTACTGAGCAACTGCCAGATCATATACCCCCGTTTTCTACAGAGGCAGCAGGAGCCCACTCAGTGTTTGTGGGGCACAAGTGGAGGTGTGGAGACTGAGGCAGGGCACAGTCAAGGATGATGACCAACACACTACCCAGAATACACAGACAGAGCTGGATTCACTGCTTCCTACACTAAAGGAGATGGCTCTCCTAGCAGCCATAGCATCCCTGAAGAGAGTAAGGTATTGATCTCAGATAGGGATTGGGGCACCTGGAGCTCAAGGCTGGGGACTCTTAGAGGCAGGAGAGTTACATCATCTGCTGACACCGTCTGCCGGCACAGCACTGTGATTGGCTCTCAGGAGCACAGTTGCAGAAGTGCTTAGCCCTGATTGGCTGATTTCCAGAGCGAGGGCTGACACTAATTGGCTGGCTTGCAGGTATGTGCTCACAGCCACCATTCTCATTGGCCAGTGGGCTGGGTTTAAAACTTGTGCTGCAGCTGTTTCTTATCAAGTTATTGAACAACCAGTCTTTTCCTAGTTGATGGGAGCTTTTTAGATTTTACAACATATCATCAGAAAGCAAGTTTAAAAACTCCAGAAATGGAAGAGAGGAAAGTAGGCTGGTGCTGAGGAGGTGAGCAGGTGTTTCTGGATCAATCCTCCTGTCCCTGCATTCAGGGGACCCTGAGTGAGAGGAGAAAGAGAGGCTCATGCACTGTGTGTCAGATACCCAAAAACAAACTTTAGCTAATATAGCTAATATGCCACAAAGAATGGAGTGCCCTAGATGGATACTTTTTGAGATATATCTCAAAGCTGTGACTTTTCTATAACTGGAGGTTGACAAATTACTAAAGGCAGTCTATTTGTGCACATATCTAGGTGTTCTGTTAAAGGTCCATCAAGGTTTGGATGCATAATAAAATATATAAATAATTTATAAATGTTTGCATGCTTTTTGAAAAAGTTATTCTTCCCTTCATTTCAGCAAAATAGCCAATTATCTCATTATAACCAACTTTTAATATAATTCATGTTCTATTTGCCAGTAGTCATGTAAAAGATTAAAGATAAAATGACTTCATATGCAGAGTATGCCAAGTTGATTGTATTCTTATCAAAATGAAAATTCAAGCATAAATATATGAAAAGAGTTGAAATTATTTTTAAATATGCTTTTTAAAAAGTTACTTTTCTTTTAAACATTTAAAATTATTATAATTAAAAAGAAAATACCAACTCCAATCAATGAATACAGAATTTAAAAATAAAGTTAAGCAGTGCTAATTTTTAAATTTTCTTTCATTAAAAAAATCTTAGTAAATAATTTTATAAAAGTAAAACTATTCTAGTGTTCAGGTTCACCTCATTGGCAGTGTAGAGACTCCCATGTCTCACCTATGTCATGTTTAGACCTACATATCTGTAAACTTAGCAATAGTATGGATTGTTTGCAATTGCACTGTAAGGACAGTCACCATGTGCAAAGGCAACAGGAAGAGAAGCAAGAAAATGGACAATGTACCCTGCTGGGAAATGACATTTTTCATTACAAGAGTCCTTTGTATTCAGCTACATGTGACGAAGGACTTGACAAGTTAATTACTTTGCCGTTTCTCTTACCTAAGCATTTCTCCAGCTCCACTCTCCACACTGAAACATGGTCTAGCACCAATATATACAGAACCAGAACCCACTAAGCTTCCTGGCATTTGGGCACAGTTGCCTTTCATTTAAAAGTCTTAAGAGGAGGTGTGACACACAGTCCATTCTCGCTATCCATGGTAGTCATGTTTTATAAAGTCACTGCAAGCACAGAATTGGCAAACACGGAACCCCCGCTCCTAGGGGAAATCCAGGGCTGTGAGACTCAGGTCACAACATTTTCATCAAGCAATCAGTACTGCACTTTGTGTGTTTTTCTGTTTAAAGACACCTTATTGAGCATATATTCACATTGAACTTACAGCCAACCGCACTGTAATATAACTCACACCTGAACAAAGCTTCTCAAACCCTTGTCCTTTCTCCATGAGACACATCCCGGCCTCTGTGCTTAGGAGTACTGGACAGCACTTCACCATTATGTCCAGTGGCCACAGTGAAAACAGCAAAATCACCAAAAAAAAGCATAAAAATGCAAAACAAACAAACGAAACACAGGCCGGGCGCGGTGGATCACGCCTGTAATCCCAGCACTTTGGGAGGCCGAGGCAGGTGGATCACTTGAGGTCAGGAGTTTGAGACCAGCCTGGCCAATATGGTGAAACCCCATCTCTGTTAAAAATATAAAAATCAGCCAGATGAGATGGTGCATGCCTGTAATCCCACCTACTCTGGAGGCTGTGGCAGAATTACTTGAACCAGGGAGGCAGAGGTTGCAGTGAGCTGAGATTGCGCCACTGCACTCCAGCCTGGGTGAGAGAGCAAGACTCTGTAAAAAAAAAAAAAAACCCACATGGCACTAAATAGATGATGTAAAGAAGACTTGTTCATATTATGAGAGCTGAAACAAGAACACAGAACATCATGCGTTTCAGGTGACACAAATGTTTGCTGACCTGTGGCTATCCGAGAACACCTGCAGAAGTACTGTAAGTATTGATTTGAAGATTGCAAATTAACTTTAGTGAATATGCAAATTTGCGAATACAGAATTCACAGATAATGAGGGTCGACTGTATTTTCCTTAGACCTGAGCATTGTTGGCTAGGAGGGCAAATATTTATGGTTGCAGTTGTAATGTTTAGACGAGAGCAAAGCAGCAATTCTGAGTGAGCTGTGTTCTGGACTGAATGTGTGTGTGCACGTGCATGTGTGTGCACATGTATGTTTTGCGTGTATGTGTGGCATTGTGGCAGGCCAGGCCTCCGTAACAACTGTTTTAGTACTGACTGGGTAGTGAAGTTAAAGATTAAAAGCCAGTGCCCTCATACAAAGTCTGGAACGTAAAAAAGCCCACCAAGAGTTTTGCCTAGGCCTTTCCTGGGCCTTAAAGCACGACAAAATAACAAAGGAATTTTTAACAGGGCCATTTAGGGTTAAACAAGTTTTATTGTGGGTCTGAAGAAACTCCCCAGGCCTCCACAGATGAGCTTATTGGGGGTCTGAAGAAATTCCCCAAACCTCCGTGATTTATCAGGAGACAAGATAAGGGTAATTACCCCAGCACCTAGACCCATTTAGATGACGTAAATTTACTGAGGTTCCAGAGGAAGGTATTCGGGACTAAGACCTTAGTTATAGACTAGAAGAAGTTAATCACTTATGTCTTTGGATGAATGCACACTTACTCATAGACATAGAGCTCAGAAGGTAAATAAGCTCTGGAAAACTTTGTAATTTTGAGTTGGTCTGGCGATAATTTCCAGGCCTTCTCCTTGTAACCAGTTGCAGAAAATAAAAACTCTCTTCCTCCCCAGTTCAACTGCATCTCGTTATTGGGCTGCGAGAAATACCCTGACCCTCAGTTTGCTCCGGGAACAGCATGAGTGCCATACTTGGGCTTTTTAAGACTCGATGCTTAAGATGAGAACCCCTCTCGCCTCAGCTAAGGATAGGATTGTTCAATATTCCAAATTTCAAATTTCGACAAAAAAAAAAGGGCTCTTTCCCAGTTTTTGGCCATTGGGGGCAGCATTCTAAACATAAATGGCTACAGGGAATCCTAGGCAGTTCTCTAAAGTGAAGCAAGAGGCCAGGTAGCCACACAGGAGGTATTTTATTTAATCTCTTAAATCTTAGTTATGTTTCTCCAAACCTACTGAGAAAATGCAATGAAATGGCAAAGGTAACAGCAGAAGATGTGTGCTGGAAAGGGTCAGAGGTGCTCAAAAGCAGAGACAAGGATTAAAGGTCCCCAAAGTATAAGAACCAGAGAAATGCCTCCAACCCCAACTGTTGTGGTATGCTACTGTTAATATTTAATCTAGGTGACATTTTCCTTCCTTAAAAAATGTAAAACACCTCCGATTCATGGTCCCAAATGATTTAATATTGAGTCTACTTTTATTTAACATGCTCATAAATCTCTGCTAATCACACTTGAGGCCAGCATATGAGACCTTCCGGATGCCTGTTAGCACCTACCGTACAAAAGGGTTGCTCCATGTGGCTTTTGAAAGAGCAAGCCCTAGCAAGTGTTATCCTTAGTTCAAAGATATCTATTAGTCTGCAAAAGACTAGTTGATTCTCACTCAAACATCTATCTCATGCTCCGTGCTCAATTCCAGCCCGCTTCCAGAAAGGCAGCTTTGGGGGGTCTCAGTGCCGTGGGTCTGCAGCCTCCCTTCTTTCCGTCTTTTGGAAATGAAACCCTCTTGCCCTGAGCTGCCCATCCCAGCACCCCCTAACCACCCATCCAGAGAACACAGCTCTGGCTGATCGTCGTGCCTGGTGACTTCCTCAGGGCGGGGCAATGACCCAAGCAGGACCAGTGGAAATCAACCGGGATAATTGAGGCGAAAACGCCAAGAATGAGAGTCTCTCCTTTGGATTGCAATATTTAAGGATAGGCAGTTGGTATGCCCTCCCCGGCGTTTCCTTCCGCCACCGGAAGGAAGCTCATGCGAGAAGGAAGCCTCCAGCCTGGAATAGGGGACGGAGCTGGAGCCACACGCGCAGCCTGGGTGAGCCACGCACCCCTCAGGACCACCAAGAACTGCCCAGCCAAGTGAGCCAAAAAACAAATCACAACCACAGACCTCTCACTGACCGAGCTGACCCTGAGTTTCTCTAATCTTTTAATGCAGAGAGGCCTTGCTAAGCGGCAAAGCGTTTTCATCCTTCCTGACTCCCTTTCTTGGTGCATTTCTGAGGGGCTGTGTTGTGTTTTACGTAATCAAGAAATCAAGTATAAATAAAATTAAGTTAATACAGAGCAAAACTTCTTATCATGATGTTTTAAAATAAAATACATTTAAACGAACATGAGTTCAATGTATCTTATGTAGAGCAGCTACCTAAAATATTTTAAATACTTTTACATATGTAATTCATTTGCATACTCTAAAAACTAAGTACACACGCCTAAGGAACAGATGATGTGCAATGCTTTATTTCAAGAACTACACAATTTCAAGTCATTAAGAAAATGCCTCAACATGTCATCAACACCTGTTTTTTTCTAAATAGGGCATCATTTCTTTAAAATTTCACTAACAAATTCTCTAACCATAAATACAGAGAACAAATGTCATGAATAAAAAGGGTAGGTTTTTTGTTAAAATTAACACACATGGAACATATTTATCACAAGACAAACACAATATATACAGAATAATAATACCAAACACAAAAGAGTGGATTCTCAATGTGTTTTCAATCAGCACGCTCATATGCACGTTAGCCAAAACAAATCTCTGTCCAGAAGAAAATTCCTTCTTTACTTTCCTGTGGTCTAAAAGAATGTGGTTAGATATCCCTTTCCACTGGTTCAGTGATTTCCCAGAAGAAATCAGAAGCAATCTAAGGAGCGTAATCTCATTCTAGAAATTACATTTAGGAAAACTCTAAGGTTTATTTTGGATCACCACTTCTTCCACCTGACAGAGCAAGCGGTTCCTGTATCCAGCAGGCTCGCTGGTGCTTTCTGAGATATATGAGGCCTCTGATTCAAAAGCGTGCCTTGTGGCATCATAGAGGATTATTTTATATCTCATACAGGCTCGCTTTAGAAAATTGAAGGGACCCTTCGTAAATCTCCCTTTTGCATGGAGCAGGGGGCTCTTCAAGATTCTTTAGCTTGCAAATGGTGAGACACATCATATTGCTATGATTCTAGGAGCACAGAACATATCTATGACTGAGCTAAAACAAGTTTTCTGTTCTTGAAGTGTGTTGTCAATCATCTGAGGCTGTTTAGAGTCTATTCCGACGGACTTGGTATTTTATCATTTGCCCAACATATGCTCCTTTTTACATTGTGAATTTTATTTTTTAAATCTCTTGAGTGGTTTTACCCTGTCTCTGTGCTCCTGTAAAGTAGAAATATGGCATGGAATATTCTTCTGCAAGCTCACACTTTGCACGCTCATATGTTAAATGTGGTCTTATTTTTTGATTTGATACAGAGATAGAAGCATTTATCTCAATACAGAGATATTGAGAGATGTAAGCATTTAGGATGGTGCATATGTCTCACTTATTGGTGATTTATCCTGTAAATTCAGGGGTTTATTTATTTATAGGGCACAGATCCTGAACTAACCTGTAAGGCTTGTCTGGTTTTTGGACAGGTAAAATGGGGGAATTGTAAGGAGAGTTTATAGGCTTTAAAAGGTCATGCTGTAACAGGCAAGTGATAACAGGCTTTAATCCTTTTGAAGAGTGCTGTAGGATGGGATATTGACATTGAGCGGGGTAAGGGTGATTAAGTTTTAATGGGATGGTAAGGGGTGCATTATCTGTTGCCAAGGAGGGAGTAGAGGTATCCTATACTTGTGGATTAAGGTGGGGAGATATAAGGAGACGATGTGAAGGAGGCTTTGAACTGGGGAGAAAGATGGCAATTGAGGTGTGGTTGTAGCCCAGGAATAATCAGGGAAGCAGATAATTTAGTGAAAATGTCTCAACATAATAAGGGAGCTAGGCAGGTGGGGATAACTGAAAAGGAGTGCATAAAAGAATGTTGTCCAAGTTGGCACCAGAGTTGGGGAGTTTTAAGAGGTTTAGAAGCCTGGCTGTCAATACCCACGACAGTTATGGAGGCAAGGGAAACAGGCCCTTGAAAATAAGGTAATGTGGAGTGAGTAGCCTCCATATTGATTAAGAAGGGGACGGACTTAACCTCCACTGTAAGAGTTACCCGAAGCTCGGCATCCGTGATGGTCCAGGAGGCTTCCGAGGTGATGGGGCAGTGTCAGTCTTCAGCCGCTAAGATGAGAAGATCTGGGAAGGAGTCAGTCAGAGAGCCTTGGGCCAGAGTTCCAGGGGCTCTGAGAGTGGCTGCCAGGTGAGCTGAACAGTCTGATTTTCAGTGGGGTCCCACACAGATGGGACATGGCTTAGAAGGAATCCCAGGCTGCGGGCATTCCTTGGCCCAGTGGCCAGATTTCCACCACTTGTAGCAAGCTCCTGGGGAAGGAGGTTCTGGAGGAACCCCTGGCAGCTGCGGTTCAGGCATTTGGAGTTCTTGTGTGCTGGAGATGTGGCTGGGGTTTGTCTCACAGTGGAGGCAAGCAATTGCAGCTCAGAAATACATTGCTACTTGGCTGCCTCTACTCTATTATTGTACACCTTGAAGGTGAGGTGTACAATTAAGTCCTGTTGTGGGGTTTGAGGGCCGGAATTTAATTTTTGGAGCTTTATTTAATCTCAGGAGCAGATTGGGTAATAAAATAAAATGCATATTGAGAATAAGACGGCCTTCTGACCCCTATGGGTCTAAGGAGGTAAAATGTCTAAGGGTTGTTGCCAAACGGGCCATGGACTGGGCTGGGTTTTTATATTTGATGAAAAAGGGCCTAAATGCTAGCTGATATGGGAGAGGTCGGATAAAGAAAAAATGAGCACTAAGCTTGACTATGCCTTTAGCTCCAGCCACCTCTCTAAGAGGAAATTGCTTTGCAGGTGGGGGAGAGCTAGTCGCGGAACGAAACTGTAAGCCAGACCGGGTGAGGAGGGGAGGTGATAAAAAGATTATGGGGTGGGGGGGCAGAGGCTGAGGAAGAATTGGGACCTGGCTTGGCCTGGCGAGGAGCAGCCTGGGGAGAAGGGGAGGTCAGATGAGTCCGTAGAAAAGAAGGATTTAAAGGACTCAGAGCTTGGGGTGGAGACTGAAGGAACAGACAGGAGAGAAAGAAGAAAGATTTGGGATGAGTCGCATTGGGAGCAGAGACTAGGGAGGAAACAATGTGTAAAAGAATGCCTGGACATCAGGCACCTCAGACCATTTGCCCATTTTTCAATAAAAATTATTTAGATCTTGTAGGATAGACAAATCGAAAGTGCCGTTCTCTGGCCACTTGAAACTACTGTTGAGTTTGTATTGGGACTAAGCGGTGTTGCAGAAGAAAATAAGATGCTTAGATTTTACGTCAGGCGAGAGTTGAAGAGGTTTTAAGTTCTTGAGAACACAGGCTAAGGGAGAAGAAGGAGGAATGGAGGGTGGAAGGTTGCCCATAGTGAAGGAGGCAAGTTTAAAGGGAAGGGTAGAGCCATGGAGAAGCGGGGTGGGGAGCAGCCCTGGGCCGCAATGTGGGTGAGCAGCCAAGGCAGGTATCCCTGCAGTTGACTTGCCACCAAGGGAACGTGGGTGAATGACCAAGGCAGGCTTCCCCACGGAGATCAGACACCAATGGAACGTGGGTGAATAATCAGAGAGGCGTCCCCACAATGATTAAACACAAAGGGAAGGCTGCTTTCCTGAGTCCGTGACCAGCACCGGAGTTTTGGGTCAATGGATAAAATGTGTCTCCGTTGTCTCTACCAGAAAATGAAAGGAATTGAAATTAAGAGAAGGGAGAGATTGAAGGGTGGCGCCAAGATTGAAAGGAGAAAGAGGTTGAGGGATAGTGAGAGAGGTTGGAAAAGAGAGTAAAAAGAGGCCGCTTACCCGATTTAAAATCGGTGAGCTGTTCCTTGGGCTGGTTGGTCTGAGGACCTGAGGTCATAGGTGGATCTCTTCATGGAGTGAGGGTGAGGACAGGGGACTGGTCTCCTGAAGGAGTCCCACTGACCCAGGTCTTCGGCACCGAATGTCTCACGTGTCCGTGTGAAGAGACCACCAAACAGGCTTTGCGTGAGCAACATGGCTGTTTATTTCACCTGGGTGCAGGCAGGCTGAGTCCAAAAAGAGAGTCAGCCGGGTTTATTTATTTATTTATTTTGAGACAGAGTCTCCCTCTGTTGCCCAGACTGGAGTGCAGTGGTGTGTTCTCAGCTCACTCCAACCTCTCCGCCTCCTGAGTTCAAGTGATTCTCCTGTCTCAGCCTGCCAAGTAGCTGGGATTACAGGCATGTGTCACCACACCCAGCTAATTTTTTGTATTTTTAGTTTCATCATGTTGGTCAGGCTGGTCTCAAACTCCTGACCTCAGTTGATCCACCTGCCTCGGCCTCCCAAAGTGCTGGGATTACAGGCATGAGCCACTGTACCAGCCCAGTTCAGATATTTAAGAGGGCTGAATTAAGTGTTATACAAAAAATTAAAAGATAAAGTTAATACTAGGAAGACCACAGTACTGAACCAAAATGAAGGCCTTTTATTAGACTCCCCCTAGTCCAACACACTACATTTTCTGATATCTCAGGCCACCAATGATAAAAACACAAACACATTCTGTCCCAAGCTCTTTTATTTTGCACTAGATTATTTTCTGGAAGTTTCCTCAGTGGTCAATTTGTCTATCATTCTAAAGTGGTTACAGGCCAGGGGGCAGTGGCTCACACCTGTAATTCCAGCACTTTGGGAGGCTGAGGCGGGCGGATCACCTGAGGTCAGGGGTTCGAGACCAGCCCGGCTAACATGACAAAATCCTGTCTCTACTAAAAATACAAAAATTAGCCAGGTGCAGTGGTGGGTGCCTGTAATCCCAGCTACTTGGGAGGCTGAGGCAGGAGAATCGCTTGAACTCGGGAAACAGAGGTTGCAGTGAGCTGAGATCATCCCACTGCACCCCAGCCCGGGCGACAGAGCAAGACTCTGTCTCAAAGACAAAAAAAATAAAAAAAAAAATGATGACCCTGGTATGTTGCCCCTTAAGAGGACTGTGAGGAGCCCAGAGTTTAATCTGCTGCTCATTTCATTTCTGCTATTTTATCAGACATTTTTTTCCCAAAAGCCTGGAGTCACCTGGTTTGAAACTCTGTTGAGTGCAGCAACATTTCCCTACCTCAGCCCTTCCTCAAGTGCCTGGGAAAACTCCAAAATGGCTATTGGACTTACGATCAGCATACTGGTTGCTGATCTATTAATCCCCAAGAAGTAAACCTCATGAAGAGAACTGAGAGGGCAAAGTAAGAAACAACTGGAGAGAAAACATTTGGAGTGGGTAGAGTCAGGAGGGAAGGGATTTTTAGTCTTTTTCGGATGCCTCCTCAGAATGCTACTCTCCAATCTTTGTAAAACCCCTCAGCTGCTTCACTTTCTTTTGCTCAAAACAAAATTTACGTTTTCCACCACCTTTTCGTTTTTGGAAAGATGTTCACTGGTAGTGTCTAGTTGATAACCCAGAGGCTGTAGCAGTGGGACAGGTGTGGAGAATCAGGCCTGGAACCCGCCCGCTGGGTGGGACAGTGCCGTGCATCCATGGCCCCGGGGCCTCGGGAAGCCATTTCCCGTCTCTGCGTTCTGCTCTCCCCACCTGTACAATGGAGACAATAGCTTCTATTTTGTATGGTTGCTGTGAGGAATATATGCCGTAAACACAAGCAGTGGGTAGCTATCATTATCACTTTATAGACAATTCCATTAACTGTAGATCAACTCTGGTCTTAGCTCAAGTTGTCACCATGTAGAACAGATAATTCACTCAACAAAAATTAAAATGGATTCACATGCATGCACACACACACACATGCAGCATGGATTAGGGTAAAACGCCTAACCACATCAATAAAACAAATAGATGTGTTAAACCCAGTAGATTGAAAATGTTTGGGGAATAGAATTTTTACAGGGCCAAAAAATATCACTCCAAATGTTATAAACACCATGTATAACACTTGTACGTGTTAATTACAAAAGACAGAACTTTTATAGCAGAGACATCTGGGGTGGAGGGGGGGGTCCCTGTGTCAACCACGTGATCACCAATAATAAAACACAGTGGGATTCCACACCTCCTGATGTGGGACCAGGGGAAACACACATCACTTTATCATGTGCTGAGGGATCACACAAAAGCATTCAGTGTTAATTTAATGGAGACAAGGACAGTCAGACTAATTCAAAACATGAGTCATTCTACAAATAAGGCGGACCTGGACTCTTCAATTCTATTAATGCCATGAAATTCAAATAAAACAGGGAGGAGCTTCTCTACATTAAAGAGGCAAACAGACAGAAAGGCAAAATGCAAAATGCAATGAGTGATCACTGATTTGATCTGTGAACCCAGAAAATCTGAGACAAAGTCTCAGTTCATTTAGAAAGTTTATTTTGCCAAGGTGGAGGCCGTGCCTGTGACACAGCCTCAGGAAGTCCTGAAGACATGTGCCCAAAGTGGCCAGGCACAGGTTGGTTTTAAACATTTTAGGGAGACATGAGACATCAATCAATATATGTAAGAAGTACACTGGTTCCATCAGGAAAGACAGGAAGCTTGAAGCAAAGGCAGAAAGACAGGAAGTGGGGAGGGACTTCCAGGTTACAGGTAGGTGAGAGACAGATGGTCACATTCTTTTGAGTTTCTGATGAGCCTCTCCAAAGAAGAGGTTCTATCTCAGTGAGCAGAGGCATAATTTTGAACAGAGTGGGAGGCAGGTTTGCCCTAAGCAGTTTGAGCTCGAGTTTCATTAGTGATTTTGGACGCCCAAGATATTTTCCTTTCACAGATTCTAGATTTTAAAAAATAGCTACGGAAATACTCCTGGAACATCTTGGGAAATTTAAACATGAACCGTGTGTGACATAATATGACTGTATTATTGTTAAGCTCTTTTCAGGTGATTATTGTATTGTTGACAAAAAGAGTCAAACTCTAAAATATTTGAAGAAATTTATTCTGAGCCAAGTATGAGTGACCATGGCTCACGACACAGCCCTCAGGAGATCCTGAGAACATACGTGTGCCCAAGGTGGTCAGGGTGAAGCTTGGTATTATACATTTTAGGGAAACATGAAACTTCAATGAAATACATTTAAGAAATACATTGGTTTGGTCCAGCAAGGCAGGCAGCTCAAAGCGGGAACTTCCAGCTCATAGGTAGATTTAAACATGTTCTGGTTGACAATTGGTTGAGTTTATCTAAAGACCTCGGAACAATAGAAAGGGATGTCTGGGTTAAGATAAAGGATTGTGGAGACCAAAGTTCTTATTTACAGAGGAAGCCTTCAACAGCAGGCTTCAGAGAAAATAGGTTGTAAAATGTTTCTTATAGAACTTAAAGTCTGTGTTGATGTTAGTGCTGGAGAGGTAAAATGAGGCACCCTAAATCGAGAAGTCTGACCCCCACTTCCCCTCATGACCTGAACCAGTCTTTCAGGTTAAATTATAAGCATGCCCTGGCTGAGGAGGAAGTCCATTCAGATGGTTGGGGAGACTTAGAAATATATTTTTGGTTTACAGTATTGTGGTATGTAAGATAAGTCCTTGATCTTTTGAGATTCATGCAGAATTAAGCGGTAAGGTTTTGGCATGTCTATAACTAATTTTCAAATAATTCAATAAAAAATAGAGATTGGAGAGACAGAGTGAGAGAGCAAGTGCACCTTACTCTCACCTGCCATCGCTGTAGAGGTGGTAAAAAGAGAGAGAGAGAAAGAGAGAGAGAGAGAAGGCATCTTACACTCACTCTCCATGTCTGTAGAGCTGGAGAGAGAGAGAAAGAGAAAGAATGGGCACATCTTCCTCTTACCCTCCATGGCTGTAGAGTTGATGAAAGAAACAGAGAAGGAGAGTGGGCATATTACTCTCACCCTCCATGTCTGTAGAGTTGATAAGAGAGAGAGAGAAGGAGAATGGGCATGTTACTCTCACCCTCCATGTCTGTAGAGTTGGTGGGAGAGAGAGAAGGAGATAGAGAGGACATCTTACTCTCACCCTCCATGACTGTAGAGCTGGTGAGAGACAGACAGAAAGAGAAAGAATGGGTACATCTTCCTCTACCCACCATGGCTGTAGAGTTGGTGAGAGACAGAGAAGGAGAGTGGGCATGTTACTCTCACCTTCCATGTCTATAGAGTTGGTGAGAGAGAGAGGAGATAGAGAGGACATCTTACTCTCACCCTCCATGACTGTAGGGCTGGTGAGAGACAGAGAGAAAGAGAAAGAATGGGCGCATCTTCCTCTCACCTGCCATGGCTGTACAGTTGGTGAGAGAGATTGGACAGCTTACTCTCACCCTCCACATCTGCAGAGTTGTTTAGAGAGAGATAGAGAAACAGTGGGTGCATATTCCCCTCACCCTTCATGGCTGTAGAGTTGGCGATATTACTCATCCTCCTAATATGGAGGTAGATGTAGGCCACCCAGGTGAGAACAGCAGAGCCAGTATTTTCAGGGTTGCTACAGTAAGAAAATTAGTCACAGTTGTTTCACTTGCAGAGACTCAAAGACAGGCAGGTGAGTGGGCAAGGCTTATGGTGAAACAAAGTGAGCCCTGCTTGGAGGTTGCTGCCTGGGGGAAGCTGAAGCTGGCTAAGCTAACAAGAAGCAGGCCATCCTGTGTGGCAGTTCAGGGAGCATTTTGGACTTTCTCCGGTTGGTCCTAACTCTGAAGCAAGGGCAAACTAGAGCAGGTGGCTACAAAGGACTACGTCCTGACCATTCTGGCCAGTCACTGCAGAGGCGGGTCAGAGTTCTGTCATTCACAACGTGGTCTATCCACCATCAGTTGTAGATTCAGCCTCTCACAGTCTTACTTCAAAGACAGCGACAGTAAATACCCGCTCGAGGTGTTGGTGAGGACATGGGGATTGGACCCTTGCACATTGCTTGTGGGGAAGTAAAATGGTGCAGTCTCAAATGGCCTGGCTATTCCTCAAAAAAGCAAATAACACTCTTAATCTGTGAATAGAAGCCAAGAAATCCAAAGACATTCAGACAGTGGGTACTTAATGTACCTAAATGTCTTGCTGGTTCACCTAGGGCCTTCAGAGTTTTCAGTGAGGCTACACCCACCTTACAGACACTCCCCATGTCCTCACACCAGACACATGAGCATTTTCAGCTCTGCTCAGGCTGCCTGAGGTAGAATCCAGTAGCCTCAGAGCCCGGCTCTGCCCACAGTTAAAACCTTCTCCTCCCATGTCCTTTTCAATTGGTCATTTCATTCTTTGTCAAGTATAACTGACTGCTGAGGAAATGAATTCCAACCATTAAATTAGGGAACTAATCCATTACACTCTTCAGGAAATATGAAGGATGAACTCAGTTACCTTCAAAAAGCACCGCCACGCTGCTGACAGTGAATTCAGGTACGTGGTGTCCACCTCATGGGTCTCTAGCGAGAGTCCCCAGCCCACCCTTTGAAGGATAGGGGGCTTCCTGGTAGCAGGCAACTCTTGCCAAACTCAGTCAAGGGTGTTGTCTTCCTGCATTTCTTATCCATCAAAGGAAAGCCAAATGTGAAGTCTTGGAGCCATGGCCATTAAAACTCATGCTCCTGAGGGCAAGGGTGCAAAGCTGCTTTGAAATCAAAGAGGGCAGAATTGACATTTAGATCCATGCATGGTAAAGTCATTAAAATTAGGTTGATAACCAAAGTCAAGAGGCTGCTGTAAGAATAGGCAGGGATCACTTCTTGGAAAGATTCTTGTCCAAACAAGCTGACGGTGTGCTCCCTGGTGTTCCATAGCCATATGTTTCTATTTAACAGCTTGATTGAGATATTATTCACATATCACATAATGAAGCCATATTAGGTATGCAATTTAGCAGTTTTTAGTATATTCACAGACTTGTAAATCATCACCATCGTTAATTTTAGGACACCACATCCCCTCAAAAAGAAACGCTGGGCCTGGTGCGGTGGCTGACTCCTGTAATCCCAGCACTTTGGGAGGCCGAGATGGTCAGATCACAAGGTCAAGAGATCGAGACCATCCTGGCTAATACGGTGAAACCCCGTCTCTACTAAAAATACAAAAAATTAGCCAGGCGTGGTGGCTGGCGCCTGTAGTCCCAGCTACTCTGGAGGCTGAGGCAGGAGAATGGCATGAACCCAGGAGGCAGAGCTTGCAGTGAGCCGAGATCACGCCACTGCACTCCAGCCTGGGGAACAGAGTGAGACTCCGTCTCAAAATAAAAAAAAGAAAAGAAAAGAAACCCTGTACCCTCCAGCTATGATCCCCAATCCCCTCTCCTCAGCCCTCCCCAGTCCCTGGCAATCACTCATCTGCTTGATGTCTCATCTATTCATCCACACTCTAGACTTGCATGTGAATGGAATCATCCAGCATGTGGCCTTTGTGTCTGGCTTCTTTTGCTTGGCACTGTGTTTTCACGATCCATCCATGCCGTGGCATAGGTCAGTGCTCAGTTTCTTTCTATGGTTCATATGTATTCCATATTCCATTGTATGGACAGACCTCGTTTTGTTTATCCATTTATTTTTTGATGAATATTTGAGTTGTTTCTACTTTTTAGCTACTAGGAATAATGCTGCTCTAAGCCCATTGAGTGCAGTTTGTGTGTGGAGATATTTTTTTATTTCTCTTGGATATATACTGAGGAGTGGAAATGGAGGTCATGTGGTAACTCTATGTGTAATCATTTCCAAAGGGGCTGCACTGTTCTGCAGTTCTATGAGTAGTGTGTGAGGACTCCAACCACCCCACACCCTCTCCAACACTTGTTTTCTGACTCTTTGATTGCAGCCATTCTAATAAATCTGAAGTGGTATTTCATTGTGGTTTTAATTTTCATTTCCTTGATGACTTATAATGCTGGGAATCTATTCCTGTGTTTATCAGCCATTTATGTATTTCTATGGAGCAATGTCTATTCAGAACCTTTGCCTATTTTAATTGGGTTATTTGTTTTTTTATTATTTGATTGTAAGCATTCTTTATATATTCTGGATTTGAGTCCCTTAGATACATGATTTGCAAATATTTTCTTCCATTCTGTGGATTGTCTTTTCACCTTTTTGCTAATGTCCTTTGAAGCACAAAAGTTTTTAGTTTTGATGAAATTCACTCTATCAATGTTTCCTTTTGTTGCTTATAGTTTTGATGTCATAGCTAAGAATCCTCAGCCAAATACAAAGGTCATCAAGATTTATCCCAATATTTTCTACTAAGCATGAAAGTTTTTGCTGTTATATTTAGGTCAATTTTTTTTTAGTTAATTTGTGCATACAGTGTGAAGTAGGGGACCAACTCCATTCTTTTTGCATGTGACTATCCAGTTGTCCCACCACCAGTTGCTGAAAAGATTATTCTTTCCCCCATTGAATGGTCTTATCATCTTTGTTAAAGTCCATTGATCTTATATGTAAGAGTTTATTTATGGACTCTCAATTATATTCCATTGATCTGTCTATCTTTGTACCAATACCACACTGTCTTGATCACTTTGTATTAATTAATTGATTACTTTGTTGCTTTGTAGTAAGTTTTTATATTGGGAAGTCTAAGTCCTTTTCCTTTGTTCTTCTTTTTCAGAATTGTTTTGACTATTCTGGATCCCTTACAATTCCATGTAAATTTCAGAATCAGCTTGTCTGATTCTGATGTGCATTGTGTTGAATCTGTAGATCAGTTTGGAGAATATGGACATCTTAGTAATGTGAAGTCTTCTAAACCATAAAAATAAAACATGCATCCATTTATTTATTTATAACTTTAATTTATTTCCACAATGTTTCATAGTTTTCAGAGTATACATTTTGCACTTCTTTCAGCAAATATACTTATAGATATTTTGTTCACTTTGATGCTATTTTGAGTGGAATTATTTAATTTCACTTTTGGATTGTTCATTGTATTGTTTAAAAACACAATTAATTTTTGTCTGTTGATCTGGCAAACTTGCTAAACTCACTTATTGGTTATAATAGGTTTCTAGCAGTTTATTTAGGAAGTTCTACATACAAATCATTTATTGTAGGTATTAAACAAACTTCTATATTGTGCTTTGTGTCTCAATCGCTGGTGTATGCTTTCTACAAATATGAACTCATTGAATCCCCATAATAACTACAGAGGCACCAATTATTTTTATTCTCCTTTTGCAAGAGGAAACTACCTTCTACTCATCTGAGGTCAGGGTGCATGACTGTGAAGTTGATTTATGCTTCATCCTTCACTGGCTATGAACCAACCGAATATGTCCCTTCTTCACCTTTTGTTCACTGGGCATAACTCACCATCGAGCCACTGCCCAGCAACTCTCTCTGGGCTTTCCTCCTTTGTTCACCTTCTTCCTCTCTCACAGGTGAAATTCCTGCACCCTGGCACTGCAGGATTCATCCTGCTCTGGGAAACCAAATCTCTGTACAGTTGGAAGTCGTTTTCTGGGAGTTACCTTGACACTACATCATTTCTATCCAGGGTCAGGATCAGCATCGAACCCACGGTCTATAATAGAGGTAAAAAGATAATAGTGAAATATCAGTCTATTTGGCTCTATGAAGCACCTGGGTCTGAGGCCCAAAGATGTCACAAAGCCATTGAGGTACTTC
Source organism: Homo sapiens (assembly GCF_000001405.40). Classification (NCBI taxonomy): domain Eukaryota; kingdom Metazoa; phylum Chordata; class Mammalia; order Primates; family Hominidae; genus Homo; species Homo sapiens. The sequence continues at coordinate 3,006,666 of NC_000010.11, forward strand.
AGGTGACGCTTCCTTCCTGACAGATGTGCATAGGGAACTCCTCCAAGAACTAGGAAAATAACATCCCTCCCCCTGTGCAGTCACAGCCCTCAGCCAGCACACACAGCTCAGCAGGACACAATGGGAGGGATCTCACCCACTGTTCCCACTGGTCAATTTGTGAGTCAGATGGGCAGAGTACTCATGCACACCCCTAGTCCAGGAGTCCAGCATGTCCTGACACTTAGTCTATTTTCTATTCAGCCCAATTTTTATAAATAATCACCTTCAGAGAGTAGCAGCAGTCTTTGACAGACATATGACCTCTTACTGCCCAAATGAACTGAATGTGTCCCTTCTGCCTGCGGGCCACATATGCAGCTCTGTGCTGCTCTTGCTTGAATCAGCTTTTTTTTTTTTTTTTTTTTTTTTTTTTGAGATGGAGTCTCACTCTGTCACCCAGGCTGCAGTGCAGCAGCACGATCTTGGCTCACTGCAACCTCCACCTCCCAGGTTCAAGCGATTCTCCTGCCTCAGCCTCCTGAGTAGCTGGGATTACAGGCGCCTGCCACCACGCCTGGCTAACTTTTCTATTTTTAGTACAAACAGGGTTTCACCATGTTGGTCAGGCTGGTCTCGAACTCCTGACCTCATGAACTGCCTGCCTTGGCCTCCCAAAGTGCTGGGATTACAGGCATGAGCCACCATGCCCAGCCTGCTTAAACCTATTGAAAGAAACAACCACAGTGTTTCTTTGTCATCAAAATTAAGGTGAGAGTTCTCCCCTTTGGTGCCCCCAAAACTCCTTTTCTTAATAGTTTCAATTCGCAAATCCTAGTACACATGCTGATTATAAGTATTACAGCAAGTTAACAAATACGTGGAATTAATTACAACCTCCAAGTAGTTTAAACATTCAGGAAAAGTGAATGAACTTTTCATCTCTTCTTGCTGTTGCAGTTTTGCAGTTTTGTGCTTGGTGAGACTTTGTCTTTCTTCCTTGCATCAAGTTCCAAACATCTACCATGCTGCTGTCTTTGACTCTCTCTCATTCCTGCTTCACACTGGAAATTCGTCATTTATATTCAACTCATTTCATTAAGTAAAAAATAACCTAGAAGATCAATGGGCTTTGAAAGGTGTGTTACTTCTGCAGGACACACCGAAGTGTCTGACGTATGACCTGGACATTCTCTGGCCTTGGATGCTGTAATTGCACACTATACAATAACCAGCGCAACAGCATCATCACCTTGTGGTATCTGTTGCAGTGGCAGAGACACTTCCTGATTCCTCAGGGGAAAAGTCACAGTAAAACCATCATATTTTGAAGATCTGCATGCCTCCATTAAACCCTCCTAAATGGATCCAACATGACAACCAACAGGCAAAGGGAGAAGTGCCCTCCCTCCTTTCCCCATGTTCTGGGGCATAGTAACTAATTCCGCTCATGGAGGAGCGGGCTGCTTCACTGGGCACTGCAAATCTTCAAGTGTTGTCAAATACTTTTAATGACAACCTCTATGTTGCCAAATATCTACAAGGATAGGCACTATTTATTCACAGGTCAAGTAATGTCGGAACACAAATTTGTGTAAGTTATGAATACAAAACTTAGCCATACTCATATCTAGGGAAAAAATCACTCTTTTTTCACTTTTATGGAAATCTCAAATATTTCACGCTGGTGCATGGAAAAAGCATCACTTGGCAGTGACTGGCGTCCACTCACTTTGAAGACACACAGACCTCAGCCCTGTTTCCAGCTTTCCCAAGGACCAGCTGGGTCGCCTTAGACAGGTGGCTGAATTTTTCTAAACTTGTTTCTTCGTCTTTAAAATGTGGAGAATTGCCTGTTTCTGATAGGCCAAAATATGCTTCCAAGCGTGGTTTGCACACCGCCTGCAATGTAGTATGCACATGCCACCTGAATTCCTTTGTTATGTGTTACTTCAGTTCCTCTCAAACTCTGAGATGAATAGAGCAGGTCTTGTTGTCACTGTTTTATAGATGAACATGCAGAGGCACTCTATGAGGAGAAGCCCCAGAGTGACCCCGCTGGTAAATGAGCCCATTCTAAACCTCACATCTCCAGTGGTTAGCATGAAGCCCCTTTCACTACGCATTGATGCGTGTTATGCAAAACCCTCCAGCACATTTCCCCTTCTCGAGAAAAAAGAGTTTCTATTTTTGTCCTAGAAAGGGGAAAAGTATTTATTAAACATCAGCCAAGATGAATGAAAGGGAAGCCCTGCCTGCCAAGGTTTACAATTTCTTAAAAAGCTGAGTACGAGAGTATAAACAGTTAAGGCACCAAAGAGAACATGTCTAGGGCTATCAGGCAATGAAAGCACCAAAGGCAGTTCCGAGAAAGGAGACTCAAGCTCCGTCTGAGTCATCAGAAGGGAAGGCTTGTGGGGACGGGCTTGGAAATGGTCCTCGAAAAGGGGGTTGTGAGGGGCTGGTGATTATGCCAAGATGAACACCTCTGCCAGGCGATAGAAGTAGGAAGAGCAGGATGCATTTAAAATACATCAGTAAATCCCATGTGGCTGGTGGCCAGAGTGCAGAACCAGCAGTGGCAGAAGACAAGGTGGAGAGACAGAAGATGGCTCTTCAGAGGACAGACAGCCTCTGGCTACAGCGTGTATTTGCCAGGCGCTGTGCAAGTCTCAGGGACACACAAATCAACACCCTGATATGGTCGTTGAGGAACTCAGAGCCCAGCGGGGGCAGCAGGTGTCCGAGCATAGCACAATGAGTTCAGGCGAACTCAGTGAGCTTCAGGACTTGCGTTCTGGGCAGGGATCCTCAAACAGATCCTGCTTGGCCCATAAAAGTCACCTTGTTCCATCCTCAAACAATATAGAAAGGGGAGTTATTCATGAATAAACTAAGTGTCAGACTGGATGAGTAATTTGCAAAGTTTGCACAGCCAGGACTGCAAAGCTAGGATGTAAACATCTGTCATCTCTTATCTAAGTTCTGTCACCTGTGTGCTGGGTCACACCAGACACCAGACTCAACCCCTACCCTCTGCCTCCGTTTTCTCATCTGCAAAATAGAATTCAGTATTTGTACTTTCCTCAAATGGTTCTCATGAGGTTGAGTGAGTCCGTGTGTGTAACATGCCCTGAATACCTCCTGGCACATTGTACAATCATATGTGGCTGTCAGATAATCCAGTGACTCTAAACTTCATACCCCTCTACCATGGAAACAGCATGAAGAGCTGCAAAGTAGCCAAATGTGTTCAGAGAACATGGGTCAGTCAGTCAGTACAGGGTAGAAAAGAAGGGAAGGTGAATCGTGCAGTTCATAGAAGAGAAATCATGTGCCTTAGACTAGCTTGGCCAGAGTGATTGTAAAGGCTTCCATGTTTAAATTTCCATGCAAGGGGGAGACCCACTTATTCTCATGCAGGGAAGAGAACTACGTATCCCCGTGCGTAATTCCCATGCAACAGGAAGTATCTGTTTGCCAGGCAGAAAGCGCCTGTAGCTACTGGTCTCTTTCTGCAGCCCTGCCAAACACAAGCAGCAATAAACCAATGGCCATTGGCTTAAAAAGCTTTGTATTCAAATTACAACTCTTTGGTGTTTGTCACGTGCTTCCTTGGGAGATGAAAGTTTGTGTTCAAGGCTCACTAACAGGGAACACAATCTGTTCAGTTTGTCCAACAATATTCACCGTTCCATTTTGTGTCAGCCTCAAGATACACTGTAAACCTCTCAGAAACCTGCCCAGTTTCTCCATCAGTCCTTTGAATTTTCTTTCTTAGCCCTTCATGCTGAGCACAGCTTGAGGTCAGTGGCTGAGACTGGCCAGCAAGCACCGCGTTAAGGACACAGGCTGATCACAAGAGCTAACCTGTCATGGTTCCACAGCATCGTGCCTTCCCCTGGTGGCCTCCGAAGCTCATGCAAGTTTGCAGGAAGAGACATTCAGAGTGAAATACGGCCTGAAAAGCCACTCCAAGTTGTATTATTTATGAAACACAACACTCAACACAAGAAGAAACCCAATACAGCACATCATTCTGCCTGCTCCGTGGCTTCTGCTTCTCAAGCGACTTAAAATGATTGGTGGGTCATTATTTTCTTTTTAAAAGTATCGGCCATCAATGATTCAAGGCCAGGGTTTGCATTGTTGCAAGGCTTTTAAAAAGTGACATAGATCATATCAATCAGGTTATAACCATGAACCTCCCTTGCCACATGTGTTTCATGCATGTTGAATCAGCATGCAGCTCATTGTGTGAGAGCTGGCATTTGCCATAGGTCAGGTGCTGTCTGAGCCCTACAGCTGTTACTTCAGGTAATGCTCGCAAGAGCTCTGTGTGAGGGGAACACTCATCGGTTCCCACGTTACCAGCAGGCTGAGTCATGCCCTGTATCACGGAGCTGGTGCAGCAGACGGCAGTGCCTGAATTCAAGCCCAGGCTGTCATTGCAGGGCTGTTTGACCACCTGAATGCACAACCTCATGATAGGACAAGCATGCACACAAAACAGGAGACAAGACAGCCAACCACGGTGCAGTGGAAGGGCTGCTGTTTTATTTCAGTTTATCACATCTAGTGATAAGCATGGTGAACACGTGAGCAATGCTTTCAGATTAGAAGCAACTTTGTGCATAAGCATCCGTGGCTATATGGAAGCCAGGCCACTGCAGACAGAGCATGCTTGACAGCGATCTGATGACCTAGAAACATTTGCACAATTCAGAGAGCTAAGGATTACATGTGTACTTTGTCTTCAAAGTACACAGTCTCCACCACATTCATTCAGCTGCACCCGACTTTCATCTGTCTGTCTGATGTATGTGGCCCCTCATGTAACAGAGGTGATCCAATGTCAGGCTGAAGGGGAAAAAATATCTGATAGGAACAATTCATTGAGGTTCCTGGTACCTACTTACTCTTTTTTTTTTTTTTTTTTTTTGAGTCTCACTTTGTCTCCCAGGCTGGAGTGCAGTGGCGTGATCTCGGCTCACTGCAACCCCCACCTCCCTGGTTCAAGTAATTCTCCTGCCTCAGCCCCCCGAGTAGCTGAGATTACAGGTGGGTGCCACCACACCTGGCTAATTTTTTGTATTTTTGGTAGAGATGGAGTTTCACCATGTTGGCAAGACCGGCCTCGAACTCCTCATTCTTAAATATCCTGTTGGGTTGGGAGCTTGCGTACTGCTGTGGTCTCAATATCTGTGTCTCCCCGAAATGTATATGTTGAAATCCTATCCCCCAAGGTGATGATATTAGGAGATGGGACCTGTGGAAGATGATTAATCAAGTCATGAGGGTGGGGCCCTCATGAATGGGATCAGTGCTCATATAAGAGAAGCCCCAGAGAGAGCCCTTCACCCCATCTACCATGTGAGGACACAGCCAGAAGGTGCCATCTGTGAACCAGGAAGCAGGTCCTCACTAGACACCAAATCTGCTGGCACCTCGATCTTGAACACCAGCCTTCAGAACTGTGAGCCATCAGTGTCTGTTCTTTATCAGCCGCTCAGTCCGTGGCATTTTGTTTTAGCAGCACCAACAGACTAAGACACACACCAGAGCTGCAGCCCCAAGATGGGAGTGTAGAACTGTAAACAAAGTCACAATATGTTTTTAAAAATAAACAAAAACCCACCACCACTTTAGGAGAGCAGCAATTCCCAATGAGTCATCCAAGGACCAGGAATGCAAATTTGCAAAGATGCACATTTTGGGCTTGTCCCACACCCACTGATGGGGACGCCCTAGGGTGGAGCCCCCATGGCCCGTGTTTGAGCAAGCCCCAGGTGATTCTGGTGCAGGAGAAGCTTCAGAACCAGAGCCCTGAGACAGAAGCAGGTGGGAGCAGAGCCCAGTGAGGCCCTCAGTGGTGATCAGATCAGCAGCAACCCCAGATGACAACTGGAGACCTGACGAGGGCCGCAGGTGTAGAGATAGAGGCTGGACTCCAGAGGAGACGCAGAGCTCAGAGCAGGAGAAAGAGCAGTCAGTTGTTTTCACAGCAGGGTGGGTGACGTTCGTTGCAGAAAGGATGTCACATCATCAGCCATTCTTCTCGAAGCTCCATGCCTTAAGTTTTCTCCTCCTCTTCCTCATCAATTATTTTGGCCTCCTTCCCATTAGTCATGAAGCATTACCTTAAGTTTGTCCTTTATTTCATTCTTTTATCAGGATCCTCTCTCTGGGAGCCCTCATCTACCTCCAGCTGCAATCATCACCACAGGAGTGAGAGAGAGACTTGGACCTGAGCTGGACCCTCCAGCCCTCCTTCGCTGAACTACCTTCCAACCTTATGTTCCTACTGATGTTTACCAGGTTATTCAATAAATATTGTATGTTCTGTGGCAGTGGCCACCAGTCATTTTCAAATACCTGTTTTCCCTTCTTCCTTACCAAAAACACCCATGGTTTTTAGCTGGACACCTGGTTGCCCAAAATAAACACTGCATTTGCAGCCTCCCTTGGAGATTGGTGTGGAATTAAATTAAGTTCAGGCCAGAGGGACATAAGCTAAAGTGGCAACTTCCCAGAGCCTTCCTTAAAAGGAACCTTGTACACAACTCTTGCCCCATTTTCAAACTTTTCCTCTTCTTGTTGGCCTTTTCTCCTTCTTGTTAGCAGGAATGCAGATGTGATAGCTGGATCTGGGCAATCATTTTGGAGCCATGAGGTGACCATGGGCATGGAGCCCAATATAGTGGAGAAAGTAGAGAGAAGGAGGCCACGTCAACTTCAACCCTGACTTATTGAGTTTTTGGTTCTTTTCAGCCAACCTCAATATAAAGGATGTAAGTTTCAGCTATGAGCAAGGCACTATGACATCATAGGAGATGCAGTGATACGCAGGGTAAGCATGGATTCCTCAATGAATTTACATCCAACAAGGAAAACGGACGGTAGACGAGACCATTGTGATGTGACGAATGTCACCAAGGAAGAAGCAAAGTGCTGCCCTCTGCTCAATCATTCTGTTGCTGCTTGTCTTAGTATTGTCATCCTGAGACTTGTGCATGCAGTGTGGGGCAGGGTCAACATTTCAAAGTCTAATTCTGCATTCCCACATCTTGATGTCAATGAGAGGAGATACAGTGTAATAAAGAACAGGTCAAATAAAACAATACCCCTGCAGTGAGAACTCAGGGCTCTGGAGAAATGGCCAACATCAGGTCAAGCACAGGGCATGGACCACCTAAGCCTAGATACCCTGTCATTCATGATGGTGAGGAACTTACCAAAGACGACAAGGATTAAACAGAATGACTCAAAAGCCACCATGAGGAGGCTCCCACTGGACAGAGATGAGACAATTTGAACATCAGAAGAGAAAATAATTCAAAATATTGAAACACATCAAAATGTCTAACTCTATGAGTTTATAATGACATTAAATAAAAACCAATTGGCCATCTTTAGAGGATGATAGAGAACTAATTTACTACACTGAGAACTAGTTCATACAGGGAACAGATCAAGTATTTACAATACCAAGGGTATCCGGTGGCTCATCAAATAGTAGAAACCACCTCCTTATTAAATTATTCTGATTTATAAAGAAAAAGAAAGTGATAAAATTACAGTATCACTATTTTAAAGCTCCTGGCCCCGCAATGAATTGGTTGATGCAGGACTAGGAATTGAGCATTGGCTGCTGATGACATCATGAAAGGATAGGCAGTCAGGTGTTTTGCAGCCTCCAATGGAAGACACTGGGATGCCTGCAGCCTTGCAAACGTGGTGGAGCCTGAGTGCAGCCCAGCCTAGTTTTCAGATGCATCTGCCAATCTGTAAAATACACAGTGGGCAGCAAAGTGGTCAAGCTGCATCCTGAGTGTGAGATCGCCAAAATCCAGATGCCAAGAGACTCTGGGTCAAACAGCCCCGGTGCTTCAATAAATAACTGATAAAGAAAACAAAGTGAGGGAGGGGAAGCTGTGGATTGTAAGACACTTGAAACTATCTCAAAACTTTAAATAAAAAAGAGGGGGGGAGGCAAGTCTAAGCAATAGTTCACGTTTAGACGTGTGGTTCAAGGTTCACGTTTAGACGACATCATTATTTTTAAAACACACAAAGTGATTATTATAAGTCAGCCTAATGGCCACTAATGGGAGAAGGAAGGAGCTGGACTAGGATAAGCGGGACCCAGCAACTGGATGGGCTTCTCAGACGTGTGGCCAAATTCCACTTCTGGACGTGAGGCTCCTTTCCCTACAATAGTTCATTAGACCGCACATTCATTTTGTGTGTTTTTCTGCATCTTTGTTTTATGTTACAATAAAATGATTTTTAGAAACTATGGCAGGGTCTTGGTAACCTATGCAAAATTCTCAGATTCCTTGTACATGTCCCCCAGAAACATGCAACCTGCCTAACTGCGACCTTTCAGCCCTGCATTCCTTTCCACAGCTGTGCTCTGACAATATTCCATAGGTGAGCTCCACACCCAGGTGGGGCACTGGCTCTCTTCCTCCTGAAGTCAGGACTACAGCAGTGCTCGGTCTTGAACAAAAAGGTTTTTGTTTGTGTTACGAGTCAGCGTAGTCAATCCGTTCCCTTTTATGCCTGGAAACGTTCCCATTTTCCCAGGGGAAGAAGAACTCAGGCTACAGCTGTGGAACGTGTGTTTCTTCCAACCAGTGAAGACCGGACGCCATTCCTTCATGCTACTGGGTTCTTGCAGCTGTAATTTACAACACAGCTGTCATATCTGTGACATCTGGGCCAGCTCCTCTGTGCCCAACCTCAGCCCTGTTCAGTTTGCCCCTGTACCCCCAATTCTCCCCAGTAGCCATCCCTGAACTGCACTTTCTAACTGCGGGATTGCCCTTGAGTTGGGCTGCTGGATCCTCCCTCACCCTTGCCTGACGCAGGAAGACAGTCATCCTCACAGAAGACGAAGTTCAGTTCCACAGCTCGGCCTCAGATCACAAGGGCGTGAGGATTAAAGAGAGGATACCACAGTCGGTAAGAGGCAGATACTAGACATTTACCTTTTTAATAAAAGAGTAACAAATTATTTGGGGTACGGTTGGGTGACAATTCAAGTGAAAGCTTGCAGAAAACCAAAAAATTGAAAAGTGACAAACTGGCACGTAGCTGTGACGGCGAGAGCGCTCTGGTTTAAGTCATTGTTGTGAACTGCCCGTGACCACTGCGCCTGACTTCTAGGCCCAGTCATAATTACGCGTGGCAGTAAGGTCAGACCTAACTCATTGCTAATGTGATTACACTGGTAAAGTCTGTGTTCATTGCACCAAGGACAGAGCCGTCGGCTCAAGAAGCATCTGTCCCTGCAAACCACTTTTAGAAAAATAGAAGGACCCGCGCCGGACCCGCGCCTGCCCTGCGTCTAGGAGCCAAGGCAATTTTCTAAATGTGGCAAGTGGAGAAATTGAGGGACGGAGAGGCTTAGATGGCTTCCCAGAGGTCATGTAAGTCTTTGCCTTACAAATAGAGCATTCACTTGTAGGTGTAGAGCACATTAAAATAAAGTGAAATTGTATTTGCCGGCTTCTCATCCTTCATTCCCATTACCGTACTCTCCACGGAACATTCTGCTTCTGCAAGTCAGAGCGGGCGACGTGGCAATTTCTCTTTTGTTCCTCTGGTTCCCAGCTTTCATTTCCAATTCTCCTGGCTCTCTGAGAACTGAATGGCTCCTTTTTCCTGAGTTTTATTTTTCTCCTTAGAAATAATGTTTCATTTTCCTAATGACAATTTGCAGCTTACACACATCTTGCTTAGTTTTCTCATAACCCATACATGTTCCACACCCACATACACAATACCACACCAAGACGAACATTCCAACGTTCTCTGTAAGTACAAATTTACGATGTTTCCCTGAGAAAATCACTAAGAGACTTTAGGAAGAATTGAGAACAGGAGAGGTCTGGATCAAATCATTTCTTTCATGGCTGTGCAATCTATATATATTTAATATAGATATATATTAAATGCTAGTGTCTTATAGTATAAAAGTAATAACACATGAGATTTGTTCCCATTCAAGACTGATGTGGTTTACTCTGGCAGTATTTAAGAAAATTATCTCTCTATGTATCCATTGACCCAGCAATTCGGTTCCAATATACATGACAGACAAAATTTATATAGATACAAAAGGAGATACATGTAAGATTATTCCATGAAGCATTTTTTATGATGGTAAGAAGTGGAAACAAATATCCCTCAATAAAATAAAGAAAAATAAAATTTGGTATGAGCATATGAGAATCTATCACAGGACAATCTGAAAGAAGTCTCAGCAGGGTTCAGGGAAGTCTGGCATTGGAGGTTCTCAACTTCATGTACCTTAACATCTGCATCCAAGGCTGTAAGGTTCTACCCCTTCCCTCTCGGGGCCCTGGTTTCAGCATGGGAATCTTGCCATTCCCAATTGCCACACATTGGAAATTCTATGTGTGTTCATTCCCACTGCCATGGTAATATGAATTAACATTAAAACCCTTGAGAGTAGGCTGGGCGCAGTGGCTCACGCCTGTAATCCCAGCACTTTGGGAGGCCGAGGCAGGCAGATCACTTGAGGCCAGGAGTTCGAGGCCTGACGAACGTGGTGAATACGCATCTCTACTAAAATTACAAAAATTAGCTGGGCATGGTGGCATGTGCCTGTAATCCTAGCTACTCAGGAGACTGAGGCAGGAGAATCATTTGAGCCAGGAAGGTGGAGGCTGCCGTGAGCGGAGACGGCATCATTGCACTCCAGCCTGGGCAGCAGAGTGAGACTCTGTTTGGAAACAGAACAAAACAAAACCTTGAGATGAAACCCACTGAAGACCATTTGCACCAGCCCTGGTCCCAGAAAGCAGGTCTCCAGAGCTGGGTTACAGGATTTGGTCACCCACCTGACAGATAGCAACAGGACTTCATTTCTGGAGGACGGACAGATGGGGATAAGCCCTGGCCCCTGCAGCCTGGCCATTCTTACGACTCTCACCCGGAGTGGGCTGGGAGCAGAGGCAGGAGGAAGGGGTGCACCGACGTAAGCATGACCCCTGAAGCTTGACAGGTGTGAGGACCTGGGTAACGATGCTCCTGGAGCTCACTGGTGGAGGTTATCATGCTCAAAGCACTGAAGGGAGACAACGGCACCCTCATGTCAGTCACCTATGAACTGAGGGTGGTATGAAAGCAAGAAGGTGGGCCGGGTGCAGTGGCTCACACCTGTAATCCCAGCACTTTAGGAGGCCAAGGCAGGTGGATCACAAGGTCAGGAGATAAAGACCATCCTGGCCAACATGGTGAAACCCCGTCTTTGCTAAAAATACAAAAATTAGCTGTGTGTGGTGGCACATGCCTATAATCCCAGCTACTCATGAGGCTGAGGCAGGAGAATCACTTGAACCAGGGAGTCAGAGGTTGCAGTGAGCCGAGATCGCACCACTGCACTCCAGCCTGGTAACAGAGTGAGACGCTGTCAAAAAAAAAAAAAAAAAAAAAAAAGCAAGAACACTTTCTGAAAATTTCTAGAAGAAATTTCTAGAAATGGTCTAGTGGTCTAGAGACCACTGGCCTTATCCCAAGGGCTGGTTTTTCCAAATACCAGGCCTGGGTTCTGATTGTAAGAGTGTTTGAGGTACTGAATTCACAGCTATGGCAAGATTCCCATGCTGAAACTAGCACCCTGAGAGGGAAGGGGTAGAACCTTACAACCTTGGGTAGGGATGTTAAGGTTCATGAAGTTGAGGACCTCCAGTGCCAGACTTCCCTGAACCCCCAGGGCCTGCAGTCATGCCCCCACCTTGGTAGAGGAGAGAAGCCTCCCTTCCCAGGACTCATGCAAAGACCTCCCCTGAAGTCTCCAAGGTGATTCTCACCACGGGGAGATTTACCCTCCTGCTTTGGTTGCTGCTGGAGCAATAGCTAAGATCAAGGCTCACCCAGCGGGGCAAGTACTGACGCTGGTGTGCATCACAGTGGATGAAGGTGGATGGGATGGTTAAGTTTTAGGTATCAATCTGGTTAGACTACGATGTTCAGTTTTTGGGTCCAATATTGATCGAGATGTTGCCGTGACAGTGTCTTGTAGATGTGATTAACACCTACAGTCAGTCAACATTAAGTAAGAGCCTTAAGAGTAAAAATGGAGGATTCCTAGAAAAGAAGGAATTCTGCCTAAACTTCATAACATAGAAATTCTGCCTGAATCACCAGCCTATCACCCTGTCCTACAAATTTCAGACTTCGGGCTTTCCAGCCTTCACCATAGCATGAGCTAATTCCTCACAAGAAATCTATCTATCTGTCTGTCTATCTATCTATTTATCTCTCTATCATCTATCTATCTATTCAACTTAGTTGTTCAATATCCCCAGCATCATCAATATCTTCTCATATATTCCCATTCCAATTTTTAGGACCCTTTTCCTTCCCAATCAATGCCTTCACTTTAACAGCAGACACCCAGAGATTGAAAATTTCATTTCTGTTATCATTCAACCACTCATGAAATGAGACTCTGATATATGTATCAAGTCAGGTTCTCTGGGTGACCCTATATTTGATACTATAGAACATTTCTGTCAAACTAATAAGTGTAATAACATTGACTGGTTTTTCCAATCTATGCTGGATGAAGTGGGGAAAGAAAACCATGAGTTCCGGGCTTCAAATTTCCAGCTTAAGTGACCTGAAGAATTTTTTTTTTTTTTTTAATTGAGACAGGGTCTCGCTCTGTCACGCAGGCTGGAGTGCAGTGGTACGATCTCGGCTCACTGCAAGCTCCACCTCTTGGGTTCACGCCATTCTCCTGCCTCAGCCTCCCGAGTAGCTGGGACTAAAGGCACCTGCCACCATGCCCGGCTAATTTTTTTGTATTTTTAGTAGAGACGGGGTTTCACTGTGTTAGCCAGGATGGTCTCAATCTCCTGACCTCGTGATCCGCCCACCTCAGCCTCCCAAAGTGCTGGGATTACACACTTCTTTGCCTGCCATGAAAGAAACTCTTCTCTCCTGTCACCTGAGAGCTGAGATTGCTGACAATCAAACCCAGAGTCTCATCACTTGAGTGGCTGAAAGATAACACAAATGGAATTCCCAACCTCCCAGGGCATCTGCTGTTAAAGTGAGGGCACTGACTGGAAAAGAATGGGAATTGGAATATTAGAATGGGGACATTCAGGAAGATGCTGATGAAGGGGAGATGTTGAGCCCCTAAATTCTGCTGAGTCTTAGCCAGCAGCAGTAGCCCCTCCACCACCATCTGGGAGGGTAATTCTGCTGTGCCTGAGAAGACTCTCAGATGGACAGTCATGTTCCCCACTAGGATGAGGACTTTTGGGTCTGTTTTATTTAGGTCCTTTCTTTAGGGGTGGGGCAGGAGAACTTCTCACCAGGAAACCAGGAAGGGTTTTACTAAATCTAAAGTTATGGGCGCTGCCTAGTAACTCTGGATTCCTTGTGCCAATTGACAGCAAGGCACAGAAAAAGAAACGAACAGGCAGGGGTAATTACCCCTGATTATCTGGAGGACATAGGGCTGCTGCCACATCACCGAGCCAGGGAAAGCCTTGCCTCACATTCATGGGGCTTACTAGGTGCCTCAGGAGGCAGCCCTGCCCGATGATTTCCATCAGTGGACAATGAATGGCAGCCACCAGGGCTCACAGTGACATGGTGACCAGGGGCTCAGACCCTTCCAGGATAAATACCTGCTATACCCCGCAGAGACGCCAAGGCAGTGGCTAGGGGAGAGGGACCACAGACGGGGGTTTGGGGAGTGCAGCATATCCTGCCAGCAGTCCCGTGATGTCTGACCCCAGAAGCTATGACAAGCCTTCACCTTGACAAGGAGGGACAGGACAGAGCCAGCCAGAGTGTGAGGGGACTCGGTGGAGCCAGGCTGTACTACAGAGACCTCTGCCGGTGCCGCCCGCTTCCCCACAGCGCTCACTTCTGCACAGCAAAGCCGGCTAGCGCTGGGTATCTGCAGCCCTCTTCTGTTCTCTTCCCTTCCTGAGGCCTCAGTAATGGATTTGAGGAGCAGTGCCCGCCTCCTTCACCCCATCGCTGTCTGTGAGGTGTGTTCACGCTGCTCGCCAGAGGCCCCAGTGGGACTCCCTGCAGCTGCTCCTCTGGGAACCAGGTAACTCGCCGGCACAGCCGCATCTTCCTGGTCTTCTTTCTCATTTTTCCTCTTCCCTTCCAGCGTGTCCCAGGATCACCTTCCAAAGAGGTGACTCGAACCCAAATCCTTGCCTCAGGGTCTTTTTCCAGGAGAATTCAAAGTAAGAGAGTTCTGTATGGTGCATTGGAGAAACAGATTACGCACGAATGTGGTTGTCTACGGGGTGGGGTAATAGGTCTGGAAATAGAGATGGAGGGGTCAGACGTCTCACTGACAAAGTGATCCCCGGTCCGCTGGTGAATGCTTGCTTTCTGTCTCTTGCTCTGAGCAAGCCTCTGATTGTTGGTTTCCCTCCTCCACGCCTCGGCGCGAAGCCGAGGGGACCGCAATTGAGTGGTCTCAGCGCACCTCTTCCAACGCCGCTCTACTCCCTTGGCCTGCACGCCCGTAATCATTCTTTCCCGCCAGACTCTTTGTGGCTTGGACTCGCTGCCATGCACTCTGTCCCTCTCTTCCCTTCTTTCCCCATCTCCAGTCTTCCTCTCTAACCCCCATGACTGCTCCTGCCCCCCTCCTCAGCACCCAGAAGGGACAGATTTTTCACCTGTCTTAGTGCTCTCAGGGGGAACCCGAGCAGCAGAAGACACATCTGTAAAAGTCACAGGAGCCATGATTATCCCCACTCTACATGCAGGAAAATGAGGCATGGGAAGATTGGTGGCCAGTTAGGCGGAGTGCTGAATGTGTAAAATGCTTTTTAAATGAAAAATGCATCTATCGTTCTCTTCTATGTGACAGAAAGATTTGCTTAGAAGGTGTGAAATTCAAGCAATCAATAACACTTTTTTTTTTCAATTGAATTAACGGGTAACTCATAACAATATAAACAAAGCTTATGAATTTTGTATAAAACCTTTATTCACGGTTACTTAAATGAAAAGAAGAAACGGTAAAGTGGTTAAGCCAATTTATCATTAATTCTTTAAAGTCAAACGTTAAAATCTTATTCCTTCACTATTGCCCAAAACAGGCCATCATTGCGGTCAATCTAATATAATGCAAAAGCAGCATGCCATGGCCAGCTTTGATTCTGTAAATTTACAGAAATACATTCAGAGGCATTTCCGGGAGCTGCCACTCATGGCAAAGTATTCCACTGCTACATGAAACCACGAAAGCATAGAACATTCCAAAGATCTTCAGCAAGAATTACTAGATACTTGTTCCAACCCACTAGCTTCATGTCCTGAAGAGAGGGCTGTTTCCTACATGAAATCCAAACAAAGATAGGGGAAAGATTTGTCCAAAGCAGTGCACCTCTGAGGACAGGAGATCATGCTGTCCATGCTTTGCAAGAATTCAGCTTACTTTAGTAACTGTCATAACCATTAACATGTGTTCTTATAAACCTGGTTTTATAATTAGTTCATATGCAGAGTTTCCTGTAATCCAGTCTCTGTTCCTGACCTCTCCTCCCATCACCCTTGCCAGCTGGAGCTAACAGGCTCAGATCTACTGGCTGCCCCATGCTTTCCTCCCAATCCTAACGCATGTGGAAATCCACCTCATAGACCCTCCTCCCAATCACACCCTCCTGCTGCCCACGTTCACTACCAAGTCCCCACAGGCTTGTGCCCACAGCTCAGGATGTCAGCACCACGCCCTGGTGTTTTTCCTGTAGCTTTGTGTGTCTTTTTCTGATCTCTCCAGCAATTCCAGATTCCTTGAGATGGAGACCAGGTCTCAAGAGCAGTGCACAGTTTGAAGCACGTGGCAGATTCTCAAGCAAAAAGAGGAGTTGAAGATGGAACCATTGTGATGGGAAGCTCTGATTCATCAATCGTGAACCACAGCACTCCTCACTTACTCCATTGTTGACCAATTTTAACAAGTGGTACGGTTTTCAAAAGCAAGAAGTGGAAGAGCAGGCATTAATTCTAAGCCCGGAAAGTGGGAGCAGGAATTCCAGCACTTTGAGAGGCCAAGGCGGGAAGATCACCTGATGTCAGGAGTTCAAGAGCAGCCTGGCCAACGTGGCAAAACCCCATCTCCACTGAAAATACAAAAATTAGCCAGGCGTAGCAGTGCAGGCCTGTAATCCCAGCTACTTAGGAGGCTGAGGCACAAGAATTGATTGAACCTAAGAGGTGGAGGTTGCAGTGAGCCGAGATCATGCCACTGCACTCCAGCTTGGGTGACAGAGCAAAACTCAGTCTCAAAAAAAAAGAATTCCAAATCATGAGAATGATGACTTGAAATCGTTGTTCTTGTTCTGCATCTTTTGTTTATTTGTTTGTTTTTGTTTTGTTTTGTTGTTCAGTAAAATGGCATGGAATTTTATTTTAAGTGCTGTGATACATGTGCAGGATGTGCAGGTTTGTTACATAGGTAAACGTGTGCCCTGATGGTTTGCCGCACCTATCAACCCATCATCTAGGTATTAAGACCCACATGCATTAGCTATTTATCTTGATGCTTTCCCTTCCCCTACCCGACCTCCTGACAGGCCCCAGTGTGTGTTGTTCTCCTCCCTGTGTCTATGTGTTCTCACTTTCAGCTCCCATTTATAAGTGAGAAGATGCGGTGTTCGGTTTTCTGTTCCTGTGTTAGTTTGCTGAGGATAACGGCTTCCAGTTTCATCCATTTCCCTGCAAAGAACATGATCTTGTTTCTTTTTATGGCTGCATAATATTCCATGATGTACATGTACCACATTGTCTTTATTCAGTCTATCATTGATGGGCATTTGTGTTGATTCCATGTCTTTGCTATTATGAATAGTGCTTCAATAAACATACGTGTGCATGTATCTTTATAATAGAATGACTCACATTCCTTTGGGTATATACCCAGTAATGGGATTGCTGGGTCAAATGGTATTTCTGATTCTAGGTCTTTCAAGAATGGCCACGCTGTCTTCCACAGTGATTGAACTAATTTACATCCTCACCTATTCTTCATCTTATACACAACATATCTGGATAATTGACGGCACGTTGCTCTTTAGAAAGAGCTGTGTGGGTGCTGTAAACACACTAACAGTATTGAGGCTATTCTTTACTTATTCCAAATCTTATGCTCTTGGTTTTCCTGGTCAAATTAAACCTGAGATTTGTTTATTTATTAAATGGTAATCATTTAGGTACTATGCCAAGTAGGTAACATTTACTTTTGTTGTGTTGTAAGTAACAAAATGCCTGACTTAATGTGGTTTAAACACTAAAGGCACATAACTGTTTCATATAACAAAATGCTCAGAGCCGAGGCGAGCAGCTGAAACAGCAGCTGAATGCTATCAATGTTCTTAGATGCTCTTGGCTTTTGCCTCATGGTCACAAAGTAACAGTCATAGCTCCAGACATCACACCCTCAAGCAATATCTCCAAGGCAGGAAAAGAGGCCAAGAGTTCCCAAATTTTCTTCTGTTTCATGGAGAAAGCCTTTCTTGCTAGACTTCCCTCAGGGACCACTGGCCAGAATCAGGTCATTTGCCCTTTTCAAAGACAAAAAGTGGCAAAGGGGAACAAAATTAGTAGCAATGTCATTGACTAGTCATAGCTCACTCCCTGGGACTGGAGACTCATTATCTTTAAATGCATTGTCTCCCTCCCCATATTGGCGCATAACAATGGTACCAATAGAAAGAAAGGAGTTGCGGGGAGATGGCTTGTAGACATGCAGCCAACAACACCTGCTGCAGGTGCCCCTGATCCAATCAAAGCAGACCCAGAACTCTTCACCTTTGTGCAGCATCATCCACATCTGGAACACACTAAATGCTAAACATCTCATTACCCACAGTCGAAAGGACTACAGAAGAGAAAGTTCTACCTTCATCATTTCCATGAGGCAGGAACTAAGCTTTTGACAACAGAGCTCCTGAAACCCAGTAGACTGGACATCATTTACTTATGTCATTTATTTACTATTTCTTCTTCTTCTTTTTTTTTTTTTTTTGAGACGGAGTCTCGCTCTGTTGCCCAGGCTTGAGTCCAGTGGCGTGATCTTGGCTCACTGCAAGCTCCGCCTCCCGGGTTCACACCATTCTCCTGCCTCAGCCTCCCGAGTAGCTGGGACTACAGGCGCCTGCCACCACTCCCGGCTAATTTTTTGTATTTTTAGTAAAGACGGGGTTTCACCGCGTTAGCCAGGATGGTCTCGATCTCCTGACCTCGTGATCCACCCGCCTCAACCTCCCAAAGTGCCGGGATTACAAGCATGAGCCACTGCACCTGGCCTGCTATTTCTTCTTAAGACAGAGAAGCTGCACTTTTTCTTCTCCCAGTTGAGGATTCTCATTGACAGAGCAACCCTTCTGAGGCTAGAAGAAGGGTGCCAGCAGGTTAGAATGTCAAAGAAATTCATGAACTCATTAGAGATAAAGGTGTCCTTATGTAAGTTTTCAAAAAGAGGTAATTTTCCATTGTCTGCTTGGATTGGAGTTCACAGTAATGGACACAATGGCTTGTCAGTGACTGTATTTCAACCATTTGTTGAGCCATGATTTCAATTTGACTTTCTTTTAAATGCCTATCTCTTAATTCAAACAGTGACATTTAAGCTTCCGTGTAAATTTACTTTAAATTACATATAACTCTCAGAGAACAACGGTTCACAATGCTGTTCTTAAACAAGACTCAGAGCTTCCTGGAGCTGATTTACAGCTAAGGACACAAAGCTCTTTTAGCTAAAGCCACCAGAAAGGAGACCAAAGGGAAGCAAGTTGCAGAACGATTCTAGCCCTTCTGTGCCTGTGCCTTCTGCGAGAGATGCTGTCTGAATCTTTGCTGCTCCTCTCTGAAAAAGAGGAAGAGTTTCTGTCCTGAGTCTGTCTACACCATGTGTCAAACTAAGTTAGAGTCCAAGTGTGCGTTAATTGCCTTTGTAACACCAATTTGTAGCACAGAACCCGGCTTCACCTGAGTTCAGCCAATCTTTTGAAGAATAAATTGAATATGTCTTCATGATTAATCCACCTAGAAGTGACTTTGTAAGGACAGTCAATTATTTATTTGCCAAATATTAATTTTGAAGTACCAGAGGCCATCACTTGGCGTATGAGATTAAATCAGAGAACCCTCATGTATCTCACCATTTAGGGACATTTGGGGTTCGTGCAGAGCCTAAAATTCCCTGTTCAAACCCTAATTCCATAGAGTGCTAACATGCGAAACTTCTCCTTCCTCAAACTTTGACCAGGCCAATTATCTTTCAGTGGCTATGAACCCAACTTCAATCTGTGATTTTGAAACTTCCAGAAAAATGTCCCAAATAAATATTTGTACTATTAGCAGAGATGATTATCTACCAAATTAGGAAATAGTATTGTGCAGTGAATTTACGTAAAAATGATACTTGCTTTCAGGAACCAAAATTATAAAGTTGACGTAACCTAGGAAAAAAAAAAAATTTACCAAACCAGGACAAGAAAGCTAAGATGGAAAGAAACAACGCTAATTTATTTTTTATAGTGGTAACATATACATAACATAAAATTTCCCATGTTAACCATATTGAAGTGTTTGTTTCTATGGCAACAGGTGCATTCACTCTGCTGTGTAGCCACTACCATCTATCTCCATAACTCTTTTCATCTTGCAAAAATTTCTACCCATTAAAGACTAACTCCCTCCCCATTCCTCCTCCCACTGGCCCCCGGAAGCCACCATTCTGCTTTCTGTCTCTATGATTTTGGCTACTCTGGTACCTCATATAAGTGGACTCACACAGTGCGTTTTTGTGTGTGGTTTATTTTATCTACCACACCGCCCCCAGGGTTCATCCACAGCATGGCATGAGTCAGAGTTTCCTTCTTTTTTTTCTTTTTTGTTTTTTTGAGACGGAGTCTCGCTCTGTCCCCCAGGCTGGAGCGCAGTGGCGCAATCTCGGCTCACTGCAAGCTCCGCCTCCCAGGTTCACGCCATTCTCCTGCCTCAGCCTCCCGAGTAGCTGAGACTACAGTCGCCCGCCACCACGCCCGGCTAATTTTTTTGTATTTTTAGTAGAGACGGGGTTTCACCGTGTTAGCCAGGATGGTCTCGATCTCCTGACCTCACGATCCACCCACCTCGGCCTTCCAAAGTGCTGGGATTACAGGCGTGAGCCACTGCGCCTGGCCCAGAGTTTTCTTCTTTTCAATGCTGAGTAACATTCCGTCGTGTGTATATGTTGCATGGAACCATTCATCCTTCAACAGACACTTGGGTTGTTTCTACATTTTAGCTACTGTGAATAATGCTGATATGAACATGGATATACAGATGCCTGTTTGAGGCCCTGATTTTACCCTTTTTTGAGTGTATGCCTAGAAAAACTGCTGGACCATGTGGTTGGACTACGTTTAATTTCTTGAAAGGCCACCATAGTGTTTTCCATAGTGGCCGCACCATTTTACATCCTCACTGGCAACGTACAAGGGCTCCAACACTTGGTATTTCCTAGAGTGTGTTTCTGTTTGCTTTTATAGTAGACTTCCTGACGGGTGCAATGTGGTATCTTACTGTGATTTTGATTTGCGTTTTCTTATTGAGCATGTGCTTATTGAGCATGTGCTTGTTGGCCATTTGTATATCTTCCTTGGAGAAATGTCCACTCAGATCCTTTGCTCATTTTTAATCAGGTTGCTTGGTTTTTTATGTCAATAATACTAATTTCTTAACATATATCAATAATCTAAGGCTCGGTGTGGTGGCTCATGCTTATAATCCCAGGACTTTAGGAGGCCAAGAAGGGAGAATTGCTTGAGGCCGGGAGCTTGAGACCAGCCTGGACAACATAGCAAGATCCCATCTCTACAAAAAAATAAAAAATTAGCTGGGCATGGTGATGCATGGCTGTAGTTTTAGCTACTTGTTGGGGGAATTGCTTAAGCCTAGGAGGTCAAGGCTGCAGTGAACCAGATTCACACCACTACACTCCAGCCTGGGTAACAGAACAAGATCCTGCCAAAAAAAAAAAACAGGAAAAGAAAAAAGAATATATTGTAACATTTCAAGCACTCACTGATATGGGTTGGCTGTTTGTCCCCTCCAATTCTCATGTTGAAATGCAATTCCTAATGTTGGAGATGAAACTAGGGAGGAGGTGTCTGGGTCATGGGGACAGATCCCTCATGAATGGCTTGGTGCCCTCCTCACAGTAATAAGTGAGTTCTCAGTCTGAGTTCATGTGAGATCTGGTTGTTTAAGAGTGTGGCACCTCCCCTACTCTTCCTCTCCTGTTCCCGCTCTGGCCAGGTGAGAAGCCGACTCCCACTTCACCTTCTGCCATTACTGAAAGCTCCCTGAGCCTCCGCAGACACTAAGCAGATGCTGGTGCCATCCTACCTGTACAGCCTGCAGAGCCCTGAGCCAATTAAACTTCTTTTCTTTATGAATCACTCAATCTTAGGTATTTCCTTGTACCAATGCAAGAACAGACAAACACACTCAGTCATAAAAGATTTTTATTTTAAAAGCTATCAAAAATATCTTAGATATGAATTATGAAACTTACCTTTATCCAGTGAGAGTTATGTGAGTTCAGGCAAGTTCAAATGATGTAATTTAGCGTTCAGTCTATGAAGCCCTTGTATATAAGGTTAAATTTGTGAAAGCAGTGTTTCGGACCATAAATGCTCACATTTGTGACATAGTCATGACATAAGAATGATATCATGACTTCAGTCATCTGTCCTGATTTCTCAAGAACAAAATCAGGCAGGCCTTTCCCCAGTCACCCTAACAATGGTGTTTCTATTCAGTCATCTTTTCCCACTGATGTGGCAGGTCTGTGCCATTTTACACAGCCTGCCTCCAGGCTGGTTATGTGAGCCGCCCACGCTCACCCAGCTAATAAACAGGAGGTGGACACTTGAATCCCGGGCAGCTGGATCGTAAGTTCCCCTCCGCTTCAACTGTATCACACCCACACCACCACACTCAAAACGCACACCATTCCCGCCCACTCCCGACCCGCTAAGTACTGCCCAGGCCAATGCACTAGTCAGTCTTCTGCAGAGAAACAGGCGAACAAGATGCCTACAGAGAGGGAAGGATGGAGAGAGAGATATTAAGGAATTGTATCAGGAGATCCTGGATGCTTAGCAGGTCCAAAACCTGTGGCGTGGGTGGCAAGCCACAGACCCAGAGGAGACTGAGGTTCAAATCCAAGTGCCATCTGCCACAGAATACTGGCAGTTCAGGGGAGGCCAGCCTTTGTTCTCTTCTGGCCCTCAACTGCTTGGATAAGGCCTGCCCACATTAGGAAGGGAGATCTGCTTTACTCAAAGTGCAGGGATTTATAGGTAAATCTCATCTACAAACACCCTCAGAGCAACATCCAGAATAATGGAATTATAGTGTTCAAAAGTAAGACGTTGCCTTTGCTTAAGCAGATACACCATGCATGCACCTCACACACACACAAGCACACCACCCAATTCCAGAAATACGGGCATTTCCTGGCACCAATTTTAAAACTCTTTTATGAAATTATGGTAATATCAGATAATAGCTTTGTTTGTTTGCTTTAAAATCCTTATTAGCCAAATTGAAATTTATGAGCCTCTGTCATTCTCCAAAATGTTGAAAATGTTACTGGTCTGTGAAATTCAAAAATAGTCAAGAAACTCACTATTCTGCAAGTCCTCTGCAGGGAACCAGTGTCTCCACTCCTGCTTTTTATGCTGAGTAATTCATGAACTTCATTCCAAAAATACATATAGAATTCGTGCCAGGTGTCAGGCACTGTCCAGGGTATTCATTAAAAACCAGTGGAAAAAATACAAAACAAAACAACCATCCCAGCCCTACTGGACAGTGCAGGCTGTAGAGGTGAGAGGAGACAATCAGGAAATAAATGTGTAGTGTAACAGATGGTGACCGGGGCCGCAGATAATAGAGGGAGAAGGAAAAAGGGGAGGATTTCATGTGAGCGTCCTAAAAGGGTTCCTTGTAAGATGCTGCTCCGGGGTCTCACTCATCCCAGTGAGGATATACACAGCACACCCCTGCGGTGGCACTTGGGATTGGAGAGTAGATATTAGGTTGGTGTAAAAATAACTGCAAAACTGCAATTACTTTTGCACCAACTTAATAGGAGAGCAGATGTAATCCTCAAAGGTCCAGTTAAAGAAAGAACTGGTATAGCTCAGAGTAAAATGACACATTGAGCATTTTCGCTCATTTAAACTAGACTACACAAATAAACTCAACAAATAAAATAACTCATCTACCTATGATAATTAATGCCATGCAATGACCACCATACCACAACCAGTGTTGTGGATCACTCTCAATTCTTCCGCCTTATTTAAGGGAAGCTAAGGCTTTCCTAGGTAAGATTTATTTTTCCTCCTCAGAAGTTGCAGCATTTTGTCAACTTGCTCCTCATCCCCAGGCTGTCAGAGCAAAATCAGAGCTCATCTTGAAAGTATGTTTTGGAAAAAAAGAAAAAACAGAAACATCAATCCATGCCATCTCCTTATTCTCCTGTGCACGCCCCCGTTGAGATAGACCCTCAGTCCCACCATTGGTACAATGTATTAATTTAAATGGTAAACCAAATGGGATTGCCAGAGTTTGGAGACTAATGTCTTCAAACTGGCTTGATCATACTCAGCTAGGTACTAACTCATAGTCTGTTCATTAATCTATTTGCTTGTAAAATATTGCTTCCCAAGGACAATATTGGATTTAGTATAAATAAATCCTCATTTTAAGAGGCTCAAAATCAGAAAACTGGCAGTGATCAGATTGAACTAAATATTTATTCACCTCTAAAACATGTGCAGGCAAAGATGTCTGTCAATGTCCGTTAGAAATACAATATCAAAAAGGCCATGTAACCTGAAAATAATTGTCACAGTCTGCATTTAGCTGCCCCCAACATCAACTGCTTTAAATTTATTTTTTTAAATGTCAACAGAATGCCACAAATAATTAAATACCATTCTTAAAACTCTCAAGCTGCTTTAATCTTAGATTTGAAACATGCAATCATATTTCTGCTCTGTTTCTTCTAGAAAAAAATATTTACTTTTGATTGTAGAGCAAATTATCAACACATTATCCATATAACCCGGCAGTTTCGAGAAATGATAGGCCAAGGTTTAATTCATTTAAAAAAACAAACACTGACTGCTTTTAGTTCAATCCCCTGCATGATGCAGAGTGAGGGGTGCCTGCATTAGTCAGGGTGGGATCCACTGCTGTTATCACGTTAAGCGAAGGCCTCAGAAATAGTTTGGGAGTTGTTCATTCAAGACAAACTAGTTATCTTAGGAATGTCATGTTTATCCTGAGTTTTGTTTCCAGAATCTAAACTGTTTGAGAATCTCTCCTTCAAGCTGGTTTTTAAATATTAAAAACAATTGAAATAAAGGAGCACAGAGAGAGAGAGAGAGAGAGAGAGAGAGAGATTTCCTTCTTGCCGCCAGATTTTAGTTGGCTGTACATGCCCATTATATTACATTAACAATATTTAAATTATAGATTGTTATAGTTGATCCTAAAAGAATGTCATGTTTCCCATTAGGACAAACATGTCAAGTTTACTAGGCTTTGCTTTTATGTCCAAATACAGAACAGTGAAGAGGTATTGCACATTCTTATCAGTATTTTAAATAAATTAAAACCTAAGTGATTGTTTTCAACAGTGATCATGCTATTTAATTATTTTAAAATATGAAAAAAAGGCTTCTTAGCTTAAAATGTGACCTATTGCTTCCCTTCTTAACCATCAATGTGAAGCTTTAGAATAAATAGAAACAGAAACACTTACCTTACTGGTTAATGTACAGTGTCAATTCAAATTGCTGTATGCATATCAGAAGTGACAGCAAACACGTGGAAGAATGAAACTGGGTCCCCATCTCTCCAATTCTACAAAAATCAGCTCAACGTTTATCAAAGACTTAAATCTAAGATCTGAAACCACAAAAATACTAGACGATAACATCATAAAACTCTTCTGGACATTGGCTTAGGCTAAGAATTCATGACTAAGACCCCAAAAGCAAATATAACAAAAACACAAGTAAACAAATGAAACTTAATTAAACTAAAAAGCTTCTGCACAGCAAAAGACACCATCAGCAGAATAAACCCACAAAATATTCACAAACTAAGCATCCAACGAAGGACTAGTATCCAGAATCTACAAGGTACTCAAACAAATAAGAAAAAAACAAATAATTCCATCAAAAAGTGGGCAAAAGACGTGAATAGACATTTCTCAAAAGAAGATATACAGCCAATAAACACATTAAAAATGCTCAACATCCCTAATCATCAGGAAAATGAAAATCAAAACCACAATGAGATACCATGTTACTCCCGCAAGAATGGCCATGATTAAAATGTCAAAAAACAATGGATGTCTTCATGGATATGGTGAAGAAGGAACACCTTTACATGCTGGTGGGAATGTAAATTAATACAACTACTATGGAAAACAGTATGGAGATTTCTTAAAGAACTAAAAGTAGAACTACCATTCTATCCAGCAATCCTACTGCTCGGTATCTACCCAAAGGAAAAGAAGTCATTCTATGAAAAAGACTCTTGCACATGCATGTTTATGGCAGCACAATTCACAATAGCAAAGATACAGAACCAACCTAAGTGCCCGTCGACCAATGAGTGGATGCAGAAAATGTGGTATATATACATTGTGGAATGTTATCAGCCATTAAATGGAATAAAATAATGTCTTTTGCAGCAACTCAGATGGAGCTGGAAGCCATTATTCTAAGTGAAGTAACTCAGGAATGGAAAACCAAATATCGTATGCTCTCCCTTATAAGTGGGAGCTAAGCTATGAGGATGCAAAGACATACGAATGATATGATGGACTTTGGGGACTCGGCGGGGGGGAAGGTTGGGGTCTGAGGGATAAAAGACTACACCTTGGGTACAGTGTATACTGCTTGGGTGACAGGTGCACTAAAATCTCAGGAATCTCCACTAAAAAATGTGTAAACAAAACTACTTCTACCCCAAAAACTATTGAAAAAAAAAGCATGCCAAGTAAGAAAACAATAAAGTGATGGCAATTCATACCTGAAAGCTGATAACACGGCTGATGACCACTGGCACTGAGGCTGTGTGCTGGTGACTTCAGAAAATCAAGGGTACAACAGCCACCATCTTGGACAGAAAAATCACAGACCAGGATAGGACATGTATGCACCTGCGAGTGCGTATCACCTGTGTATTTTAATAAAATATAAAATACAACATCAGGACCGCCACACAGATGGGACTGTTGTTCAAGAAGCCGGTGATCAAGAGCTGAGCCCATGGAGACTTAAGGAGCAGGTGTTTTTTCCTTTGAGCCCATTGAAGGCTGAGGATACGATATTTCTGCCACCAATAAATAGTTTGTTATTCCATGAATATCTTGGAAGCCATTCTGAAACTGATCAATTCGAGAAAACAAGAGACCGATTACATGTTACAGGGGGGAAAAGTAAATGCAGTAAGACTCACTCACCCTGTGTCTCGCTCAACCAAAGGATGGACATGTCTGATGCATAGAGATACGGCAGTCTATATTTATTGAAGCTGGTAGGATTGGAAAACAAAACAGCATTCAATTATTGACCCAATTGTTTGTGGATGGGGTGGTGATTTCCAGGTCTCTTGTTTGTAGCCACATTTTTTCTATCCCTGTTTGCCTTATTATTAATATTTAATCGATCATTATTAAATAGGTCCTACCAAGTGCTACTAAGAGTCAGGTGCCATCTGTAGTGTTTGGTGTATTTTTTTCTAATTATGTCATTATCCCTACAGGTTGACTTATTTTTATGTCACAGATAAGACAAAGACTCAAAGGAAAGTGACCATGTTTCTGAACTTCGCCCAGCTAATAAGCAGCTGAGCTCAATTCAAACCCAAATCTGGCTCAACAGCCCAAACTCTTTATCCAGAAATTACGTTCTATTACATTTAGAAATATAAAACCAGATCAGGCAGGTGGCTCACACCTGTAATCCTGGCACTCTGGGAGGCCGAGGCAGGCGCATCACTTGAGGTCAGGAGTTCGAGACCAGCCTGGCCAACATGCTGAAACCCCGTCTCTATTAAAAATGCAAAAATTAGCCAGGTGTGGTGGTGTGTGCCTGTAGTTCCAGCTACCCGGGAGGCTGAGACAGGAGAATCGCTTGAACCCAGGAGGTGGAGGTTGCAGTGAGCCATGATCATGTCACTACACTCCAGCCTGGGTGACAGAGTGAGACTCCGTCTCAAAAACAAACAAACCAAAAAAAAAAAAAGAAAGAAATAGAAAACTGACTGCATATCAAGAGGTCCTTAAGAATAACAGCAGAGGCTGTGCTGCAGCCCATGGCCCACGAGCCCAGGGAGGCACAGCCCTGGTGCCATGGACAAATAGGCAGATGGCGTCTCTCTCAGTGTCCTTGTCCAGTGAGTGGGAACACTATGGCACTTTCCTCATGAGGTTATTAGGATGATTACGTAAATTAGAAATGCTAAAGGGCTTGGCGTGGTGCCTGGCACACAGCACAACACTTACAAAAAAAAAATCAGTAAAATAGAAATGTCAGTACAAGAGACAATGCTCACATTGGGATCATGTTACTGAGACCTAGTATTTGCCAGTACCAAACTTCTTTAGGAGAAGATCCCCAGACTGACCAATAGGATTCTAAGTTAGGTCATATTAGGATCTGCCCAGGACTTGCTGGATGTAATTAGTAAAGGTGACCAACTTGGGAGAACAAAAGGTTGTTCGTGGACATTCTTTTACCTTCTATAATAGATAAAGCCTTGTGTTCCTCAGTGCACCCACAGAACTCTTGTGAAAGGAGACTTTAAGGATATAAATTATCTTCTGGATCAAGCATGACTGATTTTTAGAAAAAAGTTTCAACGATGTAAAGGTCAGACATTCATGGTATTCTTGTTCAACAAAGTAGACGCTGAGATACAGTGAAGAGGTATTGTTGGAAGTTCCTCTTTATTGCTATATTATTTTAAATAGTTTTAATAAGAAAATTTGAGGAAACTGAAGTAGTCAAATGAGTCAAAATGCCCGAGTCTTCTGAAGATTAGGAAATCCATGATTCAGGAAAAATAGTGACCCTAATTATTCTCCAGTGGTTTTGGTTCAGCAGTTAATTCCATTTCTCACTGCGATTAAAATAGCTAAAGCTGACAACATGTGCTTTGCATGCCAACTATCTCAACTTCCCCTTCTACAAAAGTAAAACAACCCAAAATTAATAAACAGCAACATTCCAGTGTCCTTCACGATAACATTGAAGCCTGCCCCCTCCTTTAACAGTAACATTGATTGCTCCTATGTCTTGGAGCGTCTTTTCTTAAAAAAAAATTTTAAAAAAAAGTTTGAGTCAAGTCATTCATTTACACATCTGTAGGGGGACTTTTCCTTTCCTTCCACCTCAGTATTTATGGGCCTAATTTATCTATAAACATAGGGACCTCATATCCAGAGAGAACTCCCAGCACCAAAAGATATTCATCAGGATTCAGCATCATCTCACGGAGCTCATTCCAAGAGCTCGGAGTCTTCATTAATTCATTCCCTCTCCAAAGCAAACGTTGTCTTCATTCGATGAAGAGAAACACTTAGGACTGAGTAACGATGGTTGTGAAAAATAAAGCAGCATCCTTATGTATTCGTCTGCTCTCACACTGCTAACAAAGACAGACCCAAGACTGGGTAATGTATAAAGCAAAGAGGTTAAATGGACTTACAGTTTCACGTCGCTGGGGAGGCCTCAGAATCATGGCGGAAGCTGAATGAGGAGCAAAGTCATGTCTTATGTGGCGGCAGGCAAGAGAGCATGTGGGGGGGACGTCCCCTTTATAAAACCATCAGATCTCGTGAGACTTACTGTCACGAGAACAGCACGGGAAAGAACCCTCCCCCATTTTTCAATTACCTCCCACCAGGTCCCTCCCATGACACATGGGGATTATTGCAATTCCAGGTGAGATTTGGGTGGGGACACAGAGCCAAACCATATCACCTCATGTACCACAACACCCTTAGTCAGGAATCTTAAAGACCAATTTCTTAAGGTAGTTTTTAACCTGATGTTTTATATTCCTTGACACCACATCCTTCACTGCTAGATAATGTCAACCCAGTATTTTCAAAGCAATTCATTTAAGTCAAGCTTCATGAAAACAACAACTATACTGGAACAATTGTTTCCTAGTAGTCAATAGAATATGAGCTATAAAGATATTAAGTAGATTCTGATCCCATTCACTCTGTTTCTCTCAGAAAAAGATCAGTGAGAACTTTCTCTTTGGATCAGCCAGGAATGCTCTCTGCTGATGACATTTTTGTCTAAACCCCACTCAATTCTCAGACCTCGTCCACCCTGAAATATCTGCTTCTCCTTTCAAGATATTTATTTCAACATTTAATTGTTGCTTATAAACTTATTCAAGGTATGGTCTGCATATCCAGGGATGAATGCTGAGCTGTGTAACTCCCCTGCCAGCCCTGAGTAGTTTTGGAATTATGCTTCTCTAACCCGGGCATACTTGTCCTGTGTTCCCCGTAGGCGGTTTGTTTTCATCTCTCTACCATGGCAATGAGGGTGGTGTTTTAGGCTCACTTTTACCAGGAAATCACTTTCTAGTGAGAAGAGGAACTGAAAATGAATCCTTCGTTTTAGTAGCACCATGATGTGCCTTCTGTGATAACATTAGACTCCTCTCTCTGTCTCTTTCTTTCACACACACATATACACTCATACACACACACACCAGTACTACCAGGAACATTTAATCATTTCAAGCTCAATGTCACACGGGTTAAACATTATGAGAAGACGTCTAAGACTCCATGATTACCTTTACATATTGGCTGACCAGATGTATAATGGGAAGCATTCAGTGGAGGATTTTATGTGACATGATTGCCTTAGCATCACAAAAGAGAGTTTCAACCTACACCATGATGGATAGCTACTTGTGTCTTCATAGTGCAACACCATCTGTGCAGGGAAATGGTCCACTTCAGAGAGAGATTTTTCAGCAAATTTGAAATGTAAGATTCTGAAGAAAAACATTGTTCTGCATTTACAAATTACTCATACTGTGCATTCATTATAATGAAGCCATGGCTGTGTAAGGTACTTCCTGCTAAAGGAGAATATTTTGTATGAATATGTTATCTTATAAACCCTTAAGCAAGAAGGACCCATTTTGTTCCCAAAGCAAATATTTCGATGCATAAGATACAGAGGCACACAGTCTCTAGCCTTAAATGTTTCTGTTTGAATTTGATAGTTCGTAGGGTACCCATGTTTCCACAGCATACAGAATGTGTGACATATATACTTCTAGTTTGGTTTGCACATATTTCCCTACTAAAGAAAGGAATACTTGTTGGAGAAGTGTCTTATAATGAACGTTTTTATTCTTATTTAGGCATGGTGAAGCCAATATGTCAGGAGACAACCATCATTTAAAAGGTAGTTTGTTACTTTCAGTGTCTAAGAGGAGGGTGTACACCAAGCCTGGCAGGAGGGTACCTGGGGAGGCACCACGGTAGGTCAGGAGGCAGAAGGGGTTGGGGAGAAACATGGGCCAGAGCCTCCCTTGTGGTTTCCCTGGGAAGGAATGGAGAGGCAGAGTGACAGGCTTGGGGTTGGCTGATTTGAATCAGTTCAGAGGCTCCGGACACGGTAGCTATCCCTGCTTGTCTGGCACCTGGCATTGGGGTGCAGGGCAGGTGGATGGCAGCCTTGGAGCATAAGAGCCCAGTGAAAGAGATGGTTGGGGGTATTGCCTCTGGATTGGTTGGTTTGCATCCGAAAGGTGAGTTGTTTGGTCTCCAGGAATGAGTAACCCTGGGAGGGGTGTTCCTCCAGAGTCCACAGACCCCAAGATGTCAAAGCATCACAATAAGAAGGTGCATTTAATACAAGAAGGATGAGCACATGAGCTGGCATCTATGGTGGTCATATCCCTTCGGAGCATTAGATAACAAGTCTTCAAGAAAGGAGGAGAAAATGGACTTCAGGGAATGGTAAATATGCGTGAACAATACACTAGCTCATGGCTAGGGAAACACAGGAGGAGGAAAATGTGGGAAAACAGCAGTTCAGGAGAGTGGAAGTGTCCCTAATGATGTGACAGGCTAGGATATTTCCGGCTCTGGAATATCCACCTGGCTTCAGAACTGAGGCTGATAACAGTAGCCACAAGTACCAAATATTGAAAAATTAAAAATATATACTTTTCTTAGCCATTCCATAAGAATAAGAGAAGGGGCCGGGCACTGTGGCTCATGCCTGTATTCCCGGCACTTTGGGAGGCCAAGGTGGGCAGATCACGAGGTCAGGAGTTTGAGACCAGCCTGACCAACATGGTGAAACCTCATCTCTACTAAAAAAAAAAAAAATTAAAAAATTAAAAAATTAGCCACGCATGGTGGCGCACACCTGTAATCCTAGCTACTCAGGAGGCTAAGGCAGGAGAATCGCCTGAACCTGGGAGGCAGAGGTTGCAGTGAGCCAAGATCGTGCCAC
This sequence comes from Homo sapiens, assembly GCF_000001405.40. NCBI lineage: Eukaryota > Metazoa > Chordata > Mammalia > Primates > Hominidae > Homo > Homo sapiens. The sequence goes on from NC_000010.11 coordinate 3,038,255, forward strand.
TGCACTCCAGCCTGGGTGACAGAGTGAAACTCCATCTCAAAAAAAAAAAAAAAAGAAGTAAAGTTAGATCATGAATAAAAGATTGGCAGCCAAATACCTTCTGTTTAAATAGAGATAAGCCTGAAATTGTGGTTTATTATAAAAGCTTCATTTATCAGAATTGAGATGCTGCAGAATGACTCTTCTAGAATTGCCAACTTAGATTCATAATTTGTGTCCAGAGTCCACGATGAACCTTCCTGGGGGATGGAGGGGGCATGAGGAACCTGGCCTTGGAACCAGAGAGCATGCAGGCTTCCATCCTGTCCCCTCCAGCACCACCATATGACCACTTGAAAGGCACTTACCTCCCTGATCCTCAGCACGTGGGCCCGGAACTCCAACCTTTTAAGACCCTTATGAGGCTTAAATGAGATCACACACATAAATCCTGCAGACCATGCCTTGCACCCAGAGTGTGCCTCCACACACTTCAGCTCTGTTCATATGACAAAAACATAATCCTATAATCCTCACAAAATTACCCATGTCTTCTTAACTATAAACCTGATACATTTCTCAGGGGATAAGCAGAATAACCTAGCAAAAAAGGGGTCACAGTAAAGGTTAATGGAACAGCCCAAAGTCAAAGCCAGTGGAGCTACAAGACATGAACCCCTAAGGAGAAGAGCAGTTACAATGTGTGTGCCTCTGTGCAAGTCATTTTACACATAGCAAACTCAACAAATTGGTTACTGTGGAAGGAAATCGAAATGCTTCTAAAAACCAAAAAAACAAACATAAATAAAATGTGAAAGACGGCACCAGAAATCATCCATGTATTTTGCTGCTGATATGGTTTGGCTGTGTCCCCACCCAAATCTCATGAATTGTAGCTCTCATAATTTCCATGTGTTATGTGAGGAACTGGTGGGAGATGATGGAATCACGGCGGGGAGGTTTCCCCCATAATATTCTCGTGGTAGTGAATATGTCTCATGAGATCTGATGGTTTGATAAGGGGTTTCCCCTTTCGTTAGGCTCTCATTTTCTCTTGTCTGCCACCATGTAAGATGTGCCTTTAGCCTTCCACCATGATTGAGAGGCCTCCCCAGCCACATGGAACTGTGAGTCCATTAAACCTCTTCTTCTTTATGTTACCCAGCCTGATAAAGGTGTGTCTTTATTAGCAGTGTGAAAATGGACTAATACAGCTGCCTAAATGTAAAGATATATGTACTAGACTTTATAGAGAGGCAGAAACAAATTCAAAGTAGCTAAAAGAAATTCTGCTCATTCATGAAGTCAAAGAAATTATCCAGTTCTCTGAGGACCGTGAAATCTGGATGAATTTTTCCTTTTCGTGATAATTTTCTAACATTGGCCATTTTATATTAATATAAAATACATGTTTAACATTTTAACATCTCCATCTCAGGATGCAACTTACAATCAGAGACTTCTTTCTTTCTGACTGATACATAAAATAGTGGTGTGTCAAAGTAGATAGAATTTAAGATTCAATTGAAAGCTGTTTTACTGGCATAACCCATAAATGAAGAAAGACAAATGAAAAGTAATGCCAAGTAGGGCTGGACGCAGTGGCTCACACCTGTAATCCCAGCACTTTGGGAGGCTGAAGCTGGTGGATCACCCGAAGTCAGGAGTTCGAGACCAGCCTGACCAACATGGAGAAACCCTGTCTCTACTAAAAATACAAAATTAGCCAGGAGTGGTGGCACATGCCTGTACTACCAGCTACTCGGGAGGCTGAGGCAGGAGAATCGCTTGAACTCAGGAGGCGGAGGTTGTGGTGGGCTAAGATCATGTCATTGCACTCCAGCCTGGGCAACAAGAGTGAAGCTTCGTCTCAAAAAAAAAAAAAAAAAAAGGAAAAAAGAAAAGGAAAGTAATGCAAAATAAATTGAAACTGCAGCCAAATTTCCTTAGAAAGCTATTATTATCATAGGTTTAAAAAGAACATGATCCAGTCAAAAAGAAAGAGGAAGAAGATAGGAGAACTTATGTCAAGACATATTACAAACACTAAAATAACCAAGGGGATGTGGT